>NW_021160025.1:0-12295 GCF_000001405.40 Homo sapiens
CTGTGTGTGCACACGTGTGTGTGCATGCACGCGTCTGCACCTGGGCAGGACCTGGCCTAGGAAGAGCCTGGAGCCAAGACTAGCAGTTCTCCCCTCCCCCGCCCCCAAATGACGTGGCCGCTGCCACCGCGTGACTCACCCTCCCTTCACTCAAAGGGCACAGCAGCACGTGGGGGCGCCTCCTGTGACTCAGCACCTCCCGGAGGCGGTGAAGGGGGACGCTGGTGACAGGGGAGGAGTCTGGAGCTGAGAGGCGAACGGAGAGCACAGTGGAGCACACGGGCCCTGCCCACCCGCCTGTCCTGTCCAAGGATGCTGGGGCCCCGACCAGCCGGTCACAGGCGCGTCCTAGCTTTGGGGGCACACACGTGTTCCCGTGTGCGATGCGGGCTGGACCGTCTGGGGCCCCGGATGGGGTTTAAGAACATTTCCGGGCCCTGTGTCCCCCATAGTTGGGGGAGCCGCTGCGAGCGAGCACAGGGGAACGCGAGGCCGGGGTGGGTTCCTGGGCGCCGACGACGCAGGAGGAGGCGGATCTGGGGGCCGGGGGGCGGCGCAGAGAGCAGGGCGCGTGGGGAGCGGGAATGCGCTTTGGGGAGCGGCGCAGGCGGAGCCGGCCAGATCTTTAAGGCGGGGGAGGATGGTGCGGATCGGGAGGTAAAAGGTCGGCCTGACCCGGGAGCCGAGGAGGCCGGGCTGGCCAAAAGGACCCCGCCCACGGACGCGGCCCACGCGAGGCCCCTCCCTCCCCAGCGCCGAGGACGCGCTTGTCCGAAGCGGGCGTGGCGCGGAGTCCGGGGAGAGACCGAGGACTGTGGCCCGCGGACCTCCCCGCCCCCACACCCTGGCCCAGCCTCGGTACGTTCTGTCCCCGTCCCCACCACACGCGGTCTCCAGGGCCCGGCACCTGACACCAGGCCCTGCTGCGGCCGCTGCGCCCCGACAGCCAGATGAGCTGTGGGCTGCCTGGGCCGGCAGGGTCCCTGGGGCAGGAGGAGGGAGGGGAGAGGGGCCAAGATTCCACCCACCAGGGCACCTGCGGGCGCACTGTCTCCAGGACCACAGGTGCAAGCACTGGCGGGGCCCCAGGCCAGCCCTCCACGGAGAGCCCGGTCCCAGGCGGGCTGCGGGGGCAGGTGCGGGGCCGTCCAGCGTCTGGCTGTGGGGCGCCCAGTGGGGTTCTGCCCCCCGGGTCTCCTCCCTCCTGGGGAAAAGGAGCTGGAGACCGCCTGCCCTGAGGTCAGTCAGTAGGGTCGGCGCAGGTAGCAGAAGGCGAGCAGGTTGCTCTCTGGCGGGTGGGTGGGGAGTGGGTACCCCCTTCATCCCATCCACAGCTCAGGCCCCCGTCTCTGGGGACCTCGGGGCACCGCGTGGAGGAGCCCTGGCCTGCGGGGAGGGGTCTGCGGCGGGAATGGTTAGCCAGGCTGGGGGCACCGTCGGGGCGTCCCCACCACCTCGGCGCCCACGTCGGGTTTTGCGGGGGCTTCCCACGTGGGCCCCTGGGTGGGCGCCCACGCCCCATGCGCCTCCCCTGCGCCCCAGCCTGGCGGAGTCCTCCAGGTTCCTGCCCCTCAGGCAGCCGCACCCTGCCTGGTCCGCGGGACCCCCTACAAAGCCCTGACCTCCTCTCCTGGACCCTCCCACCTGGGCCCGCCGCCCCTACCTCGGGCTGCGCGACCACCCGCGGGCACCCTCGTCTCGCAGCCCCGCCTGGACCTCTTCCTAGCTTTGCACTTCCCCAGACCCCGGCCCCACCGCCCCCAGCCTCCTGTGTCCCGTAGGTCCCTCTGGCGCTGCGCCCCCACCTCCTCCAGTCTGGCTCTGTGTCCCCGCGAGGTGCTGGGTCCCTTCCCACCCCCGCCTCCTCCTCCCTGGTCCCACTGGAGGGGCAGGCAGGGCCGGGGCCGAGTCTCCACACCTGAGGAAATCCCTTCCTGGCCCGGTCCCACCCACGGCCCCCTGGCAACCCCACAGGCCACTGGCCACCCTCCAGGAGGTTCCAGCAGATGGGGTGTGTGTGTGTGTGTGTGTGTGTGGTGTGATGTGTGTGTGATGTGTATAGTGTGTGTGTGTGCGTGCTATGTGTATTGTGTGGTGTGTAGTGTTTGTGTAAGATGTGTGGTTGTGTGTGGTGTTTATGTATGGTGTTTGTGTATGGTGTGTAGTGTGTGTGTATCGTGTGTATTGTGTATGGTGTGTGTGTTGTGTATGTATCGTGTGGTGTTATGTATAGAGTATGTCATTGGTGTGTGGTGTGTGTATCGTGTTATGTGTGTCGTGTTTTGTGTGTTGTCTTTTCTGGTGTCTGCTGTTTGTGGGTGGTGTGTATATATCATGTGTGGTGTGTGGTGTGTGTGTCATGTGTTTTGTGGTGTGTGCTGTGTGTGTATGGTGTGTGTTGTGTGGTGTTTTGTGGAGTGTGGTGTTTGTGTGTGGTGTGTATGTATCATGTGGTGGTGTGTATGGTGTGTCATGTGTTTTGCATTGTGTGGTGTATATAGTGTGTGTATGTGGTATGGTGGGTATGATGTGTTTGTGGTATGTGGTATTTGTGTCGTGTGTTGTGTCTGTGTTGTGTGTGGTGTTTGTGTGTGGTGTGTATGTATCGTGTGTGGTGTTGTGTATAGTGTATGTGGTATAGTGAGTATGGTGTGTTTGTGGCATGTGGTGTTTGTATGGTGTGTGTTGTGTGTGGTGTTTTGTGGTGTGTGGTGTGTGTGTGGTGTGAATATATCATGTGTGGTGTGTGTGGTGTGTGTGTCAAGCATTTACTGGTGTGTGTGTGCTGTGTGTGTATGGGGTGTGTATGGTGTTTTGTGGTGTATGCTGTGTGTGTATGGTGTGTGTTGTGTGTGTGTGGTGTTTTGTGTTTGTGTGTGGTATGTATATATCATGTGTGTTGTGTGTGATGTGTGTCATGCATTTACTGGTGTGTGCTGTGTGTGTATGGTGTGTGTTGTGCGTGTGTGGTGTTTTGTGGTGTGTGGTGTTTGTGTGTGGTGTGTATATATCATGTGTGGTGTTGTGTGTTGTGTTTGTGTGGTGTGTGCTGTGTGTGTGTGGTGTTTTGTGGTGTGTGGTGTTTGTGTGTGGCGTGTATATATCATGTGTGGTATTTGTGGTGTGTGTGTGGTGTGTGTGGTGTTTTGTGGTGTGTGGTATGTATATATCATGTGTGGTGTGTGTTGTGTGTGTGCTGTGTGCTGTGTTTGTATGGTGTACGTTGTGTGTGTGTGTGGTGTTTTGTGGTGTGTGGTGTTTGTGGTACGTATATATCATGTATGGTATTGTTCGTGGTGTGTGTGTGCGTGGTGTGTGTGGCGTTTTGTGGTGTGTGGTGTTTGTGTGTGGTGTGTATATATCATGTATGGTGTGTGTTGTGCATGTGTGGTGTTTTGTGGTGTGTGCTGTGTGTGTATGGTGTGTGTTGTGTGTGTGTTTTGTGGTGTGTGGTGTTTGTGTGTGGTGTGTATATATGATGTGTGTTGTGTATGTATGGGGTGTGTGGTGTTTTGTGGTGTGTGCTGTGTGTGTATGGTGTGTGTAGTGCATGTGTGGTGTTTTGTGGTGTATGGTGTTTGTGTGTGGTGTGTATATATCATGTGTGGTGTGTGTATGGTGTGTGTTGTGCGTGTGTGTTTTGTGGTGTGTGGTGTTTGTGTGTGGTGTGTATATATCGTGTGGTGTTGTGTGTTGTGTTTGTATGGTGTGTGTTGTGTGTGTGGTGTTTTGTGGTGTGTGGTGTTTGTGTGTGGTGTGTATATATCCTGTGTGGTGTTGTGTGTTGTGTTTGGTGTGTGTTGCGTGTGTGTGGTGTTTTGTGGTGTGTGGTGTTTGTGTGTGGTGTGTATATATCATGTGTGTTGTGTGTTGTGTTTGTATGGTGTGTGTTTGTGTGTGGTGTTTTGTGGTGTGTGGTGTTTGTGTGTGGTGTGTATATATCATGTGTGGTATTGCGTGTGGTGCGTGTGTGTGGTGTGTTTTGTGGTGTTTGTGTGTGGTGTGTATATATCGTGTGGTGTGTGTGGTGTGTGTGTCATGTGTTTTGTGGTGTGCTGTGTATGGTGTGTTAGTGCGTGTGTGGTGTTTTATGGTGTGTGGTGTTTGTGTGTGGCGTGTCTATATCATGTGTGGTATTTGTGGTGTGTGTGGTGTTTTGTGGTGTGTGGTATGTATATATCATGTATGGTGTTGTGTGTTGTGTGTGTGGTGTGTGCTGTGTTTGTATGGTGTGTGTTGTGTGTGTGGTATGTATATATCGTGTGGTATTGTGTGTGGTGTGTGTGATGTTTTGAGGTGTGTGGTGTTTTGTGGTGTGTGGTGTTTGTGTGTGGTGTGTATATATCGTGTGGTGTGTGTGGTGTGTGTCATGTGTTTTGTGGTGTGTGCTGTGTGTGTGGTGTTTTGTGTAGTATGTTGTGCGTGGTGTGTGGTGTTTTGTGTGGTGTGTTGTGTGCGGTGTGTGCTGTATGTGTGTGGTGTGTGTTATGTGTGTGTGGTGTTGTGTGGTTGTGTGTGGTATGTATGTATCATGTGTGTTATTATGTGTGCTGTGTGTGGTGTTTAGTGGTGTGTGGTGTGTGTGTGGTGTGTATATATCATGTGTGATGTGTGGTGTGTGTGTCATGTGTTTTGTGGTGTGTGCTGTGTGTGTGGTTTTGTGTGGTGTGTTGTGTGTGGTGTGTGTGTCATGTGTTTTGTGGTGTGTGCTGTGTGTGTATGGTGTGTATATATCATGTGTGGTGGTGTGTGTGGTGTGTCATGTGTTTTGTGGTGTGTGCTGTGTGTGGCGTGTGCTGTGTGTGTGGTGTGCGTGGTGTTTAGTGTTGTGTGTGGTGTGTGTGTCATGTGTTTAGTGGTGTGTGTGGTGTGTATATATCATGTGTGGTGTGTGTGTGGTGTGTGTGTCATGTGTTGTGTGGTGTGTGCTGTGTGTGGTGTTGTGTGTGGTGTGTGTGTTATGTGTTTTGTGGTGTGTGCTGTGTGTGTGGTGTGTGTGGTGTGTATATATCATGTGTGTTGTGTGTGGTGTGTGCTGTGTGTGGTGTGTGTGTGGTGTGTGCTGTGTGTGTGTGGTGTTGTGTGTGTGGTGTGTGTGGTGGCAGAACCCAGCAGGGAGATAGGGAGGGAGGTGGAAGTTCCTTTGGGGAAAGACTTCCTTCCCTAAGGAGGCCGGAGGGATCGGGGAGCCGGGCAGGCGCAGGCGGGGCTCCGGAGTGGTCGTCGAGGGAGGCCGTGGGGCCACGACCTGCTGCCAGGGCGGGGACAGGCCTTGGGGCCAGGACCTGCTGCCAGGGTGGGGACAGGCCTTGGGGCCATGGGGCTGCCAGGGTGGGGACAGGCTGTGGGGGAGGCTGTGGGGTAGGACCTGCTGCCGGGGTGGGGACAGGCTGTGGGGCCATGGGGCTGCTGGGGTGGGGACAGGCCATGGTGGGAGGCCGTGGGGCCAGGACTTACTGCTGGGGTGGGGACAGGAGTTCTTGTCCAACCGGGGGCACCTCCAGGGCAGGCTCATTTCTTTCCACTGGCTAAATTAATTAAAAAAAAATTCCTCTGAAACGAATACTGAGTCACTTTAAACATTTCTCAGATGTAAATGGAAATCTAATAAAATCTGTGAAAGGTATTTTTAAAACAGCTTTATTGAGGTGTGATTTACATACCATAAAATCCACCCACTTCCAGCAATTTCAGTGATCCACCCACGACTCAATGATTTCAGCGCAACCATCACCACCCTCCAATTTTAGAAATTTCCATCACCTCGAAGTCCCCTCGCAGCCATGAGCAGTCACTTCCTCTTCCCACCCCCAGCCCTAAGCAAACTCTAACCTGCTTTCCGCCTTGATAGATTTGCCTTTTTTGGAAATTCCGCATAAATAGAATCATACAACTGGTAGTCTTTGGTGTCTGGCTGCTCTCACTGAGCATAATCCTTTGAGGTTGGTCCACACTGTAGCATCATGGGTGGGTAGTTCTTATAATTCTCTCCCATTGTACGGCAAAGCCATATTTTGTTTAGCCATTCACCAGCTGATGGACGTTCGAGCCGTTTCCATATTTTGGCTGTTATTAATAAAGCTGCTATGAACATCCAGGTAGAATTGTTTATGGTTTTTTGTTTTTGCGACAGGATCTAGCTGTCACCCAGGCTGGAGTGCCATGGCATGATCATGGCTCACTGCAGCCTCTACCTCCTGAGCTCAAGCGATTCTCTGGCACCAGCCACCTCCTGAGTAGCCAGGGCTACAGGCGAGCACAACCACACCGGGCTAATTTTTTTTTTTTTTTAGTAGAGACGAGGTCTTACTCTGTTGCTCAAGTGAAGGTACAATTCCTTGTGTGGACATATGTTGTCATTTCTCTCAGGTGGAGACATAGGAATGGCATTGTTAGGTCAGACGGTAAATATACATTTTACTTGTGAAGAAATTGGCTATACTTTTTTTAAATTTTTTTATTTTTTTTTAAGACGGAGTCTCACTCTGTTGCCCAGGCTGGAGTGCAATGGCTTGATCTCAGCTCACTGCAACCTCCGCCTCCTGGGTTCAAGTGATTCTCCTGCCTCAGCCTCCTGAGTAGCTGGGATTACAGGCGCCTGCCACAATGACCAGCTACTTTTCTTTCTTTTTTTTTTTTCTTTTTTTTTGAGACAGAGTCTCCCTCTGTCACTCAGACTGGAGTGCAGTGGTGTGATCTCAGCTCACTGCAAACCCCTGCCACCCGGGTTCAAGCAGTTCTCCTGCCTCAGCCTCCGGAGTAGCTGAGATTACAGGCATGCACCACCACACCCAGCTAATTTTTGTATTTTTAGTAGAGACAGGGTTTCGCCATGTTGACCAGGCTGGTCTTGAACTCCTGACCTCAAGTGATCCGACCGCCTCGGCTTCCCAAAGTGCTGGGATTACAGGTGTGAGCCACCATGCCTGGCGGCTATACGTTTTTCATATGTCTGAAACGTATGAAGTTTCCAGTGTTCCCATGCCCTTGTCACCCCTTCTTCTTATCGCCCTTTTTTGTTACACACAAGTGTGTGAAGTGGTAACCCACTGGGCGTTTTCCCTGCCGCCCTTTGCAGAGCAGGGCTGACCCACAGGCACGTGCCAGAGCGGGCTCCCACGGGCTTTGATTTGAATTTTCCCAGTAGTTAATGATGTTGAGCATCTCGTCATGTGTTTAAAAGACAAAGCCATTTATGTACCTTCTTTGTTGAGATGTCTAATAAAATTTTTGCCTTCTTTTTTTACTTGGGTTGTCTTATTTTTTAAAATATATTTATTATTAATTGTAAAATATACGTAACAAAAAACTTTTATTTTCTTTTTCTTTCTTTTTTTTGAGACAGAGTTTCACTCTTGTTGCCCAGGCTGGAGTGCAATGGCACGATCTCGGCTCACTGCAGCCTCCGCCTCCCAGGTTCAAGCGATTCTCCTGCCTCAGTCTCCCCAGTAGCTGGGTTTATAGGCAGATGCCACAACGCCCAGCTAATTTTTGTATTTTTAGTAGAGACGGGGTTTCACTATGTTGGTCAGGCTGGTTTCGAACTCCTGACCTTGGGTGATCTGCCCACCTGGGCCTCCCAAAGTGCTGGGATTACAGGCGTGATTTTTTACATTTCTATTTTGTTTTTGTAGAATCAGGGTCTCATTATGTTCCCCAGGCTGGTCTCAAATTGCTGGGCTCGTGATACTCCTGCCTCGACCTCCTATTGTACTGGGATTACAGGTGTGAGCCACTGTGCCCAGCCAATTTTTGTTTTCTTAATGACGTTGTTTGAAGGACACCATTTTCAGTTTTGATCAAATCCAATTTATCTCTATTTTCCTTCATGATCCTGCCTTTGGTCTTGCAGCTGAGAACACTTTGCTTCACTCAAGGTCAGTCACGAAGATTTCCCCTCATGCGTCCTTTTAACCATTTCATAGCTTTAGCTCTTTCATTTAGGTCTATCTATGGTTCATTTCAAGTTAATTTTTGTGTAAGGAGTGAGGTAGGGGTCTAAACTCATGTTTTTACATGTGGATATCTAACTGTCATAGAACCATTGTTAAAAAGAGAGTCCTTTCCCCAACTGAAAGCCTTGGCACCTTTGTCAAACATCAACTGACCCTAAATGTTTGGGTTTATTGCTGGATTCTCCATTGATCTATATCTTGATTCTCATGCCAGCACACACTCTACTACTGTAGTTTTATAGTAAGTTTTAAAATGGAAAGTGTGAATCTTCCAGTTTTGTTCCCTTTCAAAATTATTTTGGCTATTCTGGATCCTTTGCATTTCCATATAAATTTTATGATCAGATTGATAATTTCTGCAAAAAAAAAAAAAAAAAAAAGCAAACCCAAAAAGCCTGTTCACATTTCAATAGGGATTGCATTCAACCTACAAACCAATTTGGAGAGTATTGTCATCTTAACATTGAGTCTTATAATCCACAAATACTGAATGTCCATCCATTCATTTAGATCTTCAATATCTCTTTGAAATGCTATACAGTTTTAAGCATACCAGTCTTGCACTATTTTCGTTAAACTTATTCCTAGGTATTTTACTATTATTATTTTGAGACAGGGTCTCCCTCTGTCTCCCAGGCTGGAGTGCAGTGGCACAATCTCGGCTCACTGCAACCTCCACCTCCTGGGTTCAAGCAATTCTCCTTCCTCAGCCTCCTGAGTAGCTGGGATTACAGGCGTGCACCACCACGTCTGGCTAATTTTTGTATTTTTAGTAGAGACGAGGTTTTGCCATGTTGGCCAGGCTGGTCTTGAACTCCTGACCTCAGGTGATCCACCCACCTTGGCCTCCCAAAGTGCTGGGATTACAAGTGTGAGCCACAGCGCCTGGTTGGTATTTTATTGTTTTTTAATGCTGTTGTGAATAAAAAGCCTAAAACTCCCAGGTTCACTCCTAATCTGCATGTGTGTGGATCTTCTAATTAGCATATCACATACTTGGAGAATTGATCTAACAGGCCGACCTCCACTGAGGTCTCAGAGTGACCACTAGGTGGTGCACACGAAGGCTAGTCCTGAATAGAACAGTAAAGGCTGGAAAATGAACTGATACTGGAACCACATTGCACAAGAGACTAAAATAAGAATGACAAAAAATAAAGACCGGAGAGTCATAATACACCACTCAACATTTCCACGATAGAAACAAAAATCAGTTGGCATATGAAGAAAGCAAAAATCTAAGCTCATGAATGGAAAAACAACGAACACCAATGATACGGTGGCTTGCATGAATCATCTGACAAGGACTTTAAAACAGCTGTTGTAAAAATGCTCAAACCAGCAACTGCAAACAGTCTTGACACAAATATTAAAATAGAAGGACTCAGAAAAGAAATAGAAGATGTAAAGAAGAACCAAAGGGAAATTTCAGAACTGAAAAATGTAACTGAAGAAAAAACTCACTGGATGGATTCAATAGCAGAATTGAAGTAACAGAGGAGTCAATGACCTCAAAGGTATGTTCACAGAAATTAAAATTAATCTGAGCAAGAGAGAGAAAAAAGAATTTTAAAAAAATGAACAGAGACTCTAGGACCTGTGGGATGATAACAGGGCTAATATTTGTGTCACTGGAGTCCTAGAAGGAGAGAGACCACGAGGCTGAAAGAATATTCAAGGAAGTAACAGCTGAAAAATTTGTCAAGTTTAGTAAAAGACCCAACAGATTCAAGAAGCAGAGCAAACTCCATCCTGGTTAAATGAAGAAATCCATTCCAAGACACTTCGAAGATTAAATTGCTGAAAACTACAGACAAAAAAATCTTAAGGCCGGGCGCAGTGGCTCACCCTGTAATCCCAGCACTTTGAGAGGCCAAGGTGGGCAGATCACTTGAGGTCAGGAGTTCGAGATCAGCCTGGCCAACATGGTGAAACCCCGTCTCTACTAAAAATACAAAAATGAGCCAGGTGTGGTGGCGTGCACCTGTAGTCCCAGCTACTCAGGAGGCTGGGGCACAAGAATTGCTTGAACCCGGAAGGCGGAGGTTGCAGTGAGATCATGCCACTGCACTCCATCCTGGGTGATAGAGTAAAATTCTGCCCCAAAAATAAAAATAAAAATCTTAAAAGCAGCCAGAGAAAATCGATGTATTATCTATCTACAGATGTATTATCTATAAAGAAAAATGATTTGAATGACTGGATTTCTCATCAGAACTCATAGGGGCTACAAAGAAAAGACACAGCATTTTTCAGACTTCTACGTCCAGCAAATTTCCTCAGCCTGACAAAAGACATCAACAAATATCCTGCAGCTAACTGCATACTTTGTGGTGAAGGCCTAGATGCCTTCCCCCTGGTCCTAAGACCAGGGTCAAGGTAAGGATTTCCACCCTCACCCTCTTTATCAACACCATGCTGGAAGTTCCGGCTACTGCAAAAGGGAGAGACCAGAAATAAAAGGCATACCACCAGGAAAGGAAGAAATGAAAGTGCCCTGATTTGCAGACAAACATGATTATTTATGTAGAAAATCCCAGGGAACCTATTAGAAACCAAGAACAAGGCCGGGTGCCATGGGTAACACCTGTAATGCCAGCACTTTGGGAGGCTGAGGCAGGTGGATCACTTGAGGTCAGGAGTTCGAGACCAGCCTGTCCAACATGGAGAAACCCCATCTCTACTAAAAATACAAAAATCGCCGGGCATGGTGGTGGATGCTTGTAGTCCCAGCTATTTGAGAGGCTGAGGCAGGAGAATCACTTGAGCCTGGGAGGCAGAGGTTGCAGTGAGCCAAGATTGTATGACAGCACAACACTCCAGCCTGGGCGACAGCGTGAGTGAGACTCCGTCACAAAAACAAACGAACAAAAAAAAAAAAAAAAAAAACCCCACAAAGAACATAGAACCAATGAATGCGTTTAGCCAGGTTGCAGGTTACAAGGTCAACACATAGAAATTAATCAAGGCCTGGCACAGCGGCTCACGCCTGTAATCCCAGCACTTTGTCAGGAGATCAAGACCAGCCTGGCCAACATGATGAAACCCCGTCTCTACTAAAAATACAAAAATTAGCTGGGCGTGGTGGCAGGCGCCTGTAATCCCAGCTACTAGGGAGGCTGAGACAGGAGAATCACTTGAGCCCAGGAGGTGGAGGTTGCAGTGAGCCGAGATCATGCCACTGTACTCCAGCCTGAGCGACAGAGGGAGACTCTGTCTGAAAAATAAAAATAAATAAATAAATAAATAAATAAATAAATAAATAAATAAATCAGTTTTATTCCCATATACAAACAGTGAGCAATAGGAAGCCAAAAAATATTAAGGTTATAATTTACAATAGCTCCAAAACATGCCTGGATGTAAATCCAACACAACGTACGAAACCTGTGCATTGGCAACTATAAAACGCTCTTGAAAATAATCAAAGGGAAAGACTTACTGGGTTTGTGGATTTGAAAGCTCAGCGTAGTAAAGAGGTCCTTTCTCCCCAAGTGATGTACAGATTTAACACAAAACCAGGCAAAATTCCAGCAGGATTTTTTTTCCTTTGGTAGATGTAGACTGATTTTAAACTTTATATGGAAGGGTAATTAATTAGAATAACTAAAATTTGAAAGCAAGAAAATAGTTGTAGGATTCAGACTATCCGATTTTCTTTGTTTTTGAGATGGAGTCTGGCTCTGTCACCCAGGCTGGAGTGCAGTGACACCATCTCGGCTCATTGCAACCTCCACCTCCCGGGTTCAAGCGATTCTCCTGCCTCAGTCTCCCGAGTAGCTGGGATTACAGGCGCCTGCCACCACACCCAGCTAATTTTTGTATTTTTAGTAGAGATGGGGTTTCGCCATGTTGGTCAGGCTGGTCTTGAACTCCTGGCCTCAGGTGATCCTCCCGCCTCGGCCTCCCAAAATGCTGGATTACAGGCGTGAGCCACCTCGCCCAGCTGACTATCCGAGTTTAACACTTACTATAGCGCCACAGCAGTGATGACCACGTGGAATCGGCAAAGTGATAGGTGCACAGATCCACAGAAGGGAACAGATAGTTCGGATACACCCACAGAAACTCATCATCTCCTTTGATCTTTGGCAAAGGGGCCATCCAGTGCAGAAAGGAAAATTTTCTCAGCAAATGGTGCTGGAACCACTGGTCATCGGTATTCTGAGATGAACCGTTGTGGGTGTTCCTGGGAAGGCCTAGGGGAGCTGGGGACGGGGGCATTTCCAGATGAGCGAACCGGCACCTCCCACTGCTCCAGGGCGCGCAGAGCTGCCTGAGGCCCTGCCCGGGTGGGAGCCCGGCCCGCTGGGCAGCCTGCCCTCGGGTCCTCGTTCATG
>NW_015148969.2:0-101040 GCF_000001405.40 Homo sapiens
GAAAATATTTTTGTGATCTTGTGGTAGGCAAAGATTTTTTAGAGTGAACCCAAAGAATATGAGAACGATTAAACAAAAAAGATAAATTGAATTCTATAATAATGCAAGACTTTTGTTCTTTGAAAGAGGCTATTACAAAAATGAAACGGCAAGCCAAGAAATTAGAGAACTTTTGCAATACATATATCTTATAAAAACTTGTATCCAGGGCCAGGCGCGGTGGCTCACGCCTGTAATCCCAGCACTTTGGGAGGCCGAGGCGGGCGGATCACGAGGTCAGGAGATCACGACCATCCTGGCTAACACGGCGAAACCCCATCTCTACTAAAAATACAAAAAAATTATCTGGGTGTGGTGGTGGGCCACTGTAGTCCCAACTACTCGGGAGGCTGAGGCAGGAGAATGGCGGGAACTCGTGAGGTGGAGCTTGCAGTGACCTGAGGTCGCGCCACTGCACTCCAGCCCGGGCGACAGGGGGAGACTCCGTCTCAAAACAACAACAACAACAAAAAACTTGTATCCAGATTATATAAGGAGCTCCTAAATTTTAATAACTCAAACCACTCAGTTTTTAAAAATGGCAATAGACTAGAACAGACACTTCACGAAAGAAGCTATGTGAATGGCCAATAAGCCATTCCCCAGCAGCCCGGACGTCCTTCTTGTGGTATGGCCGACTCTCTGGCTTTTGTTGGCTTCTTCATCTCTGATCCCATCTGCGTCATTCCAGTCATAACCCATTTGATGGTTCTAACATGAGGATGGATTTATTATTTAAAAATATACATAGTTCTAGGGCCAGGTGTGGTGACTCATGCCTGTAATCCCAGCAATTTGGGAGGCCGAGGTGGGTGGATCACTTGAGGCCAGGAGTTCGAGACCAGCCTGGCCAATATGGTGAAACCCCATCTCTACTAAAACTACAAAAATTAGCCAGGCATGGTGGTGCATACCTATAGTCCCAGCTACTAGGGAGGCTGAAGTATGATAATTGCTTGAACCTGGGAGGCAGAGGTGGCAGTGAGCCGAGATTGTGCCATTGCACTCCAGCCTGGGCGACAGAATGAAACTCTGTATCAAAAAAAAAAAAAATATATATATATATATATAAAATTTTTAAATCTTTAATTTTATAAGACTAGTCAAGCGCAGCACTGATAAGGGGAAATCAGTAGAACAGGGAATTCATTCTTTTTGTCTCTCCTGTGCTGTACCCTTAAACACGGTTATGATGGTGAACTGCATGTTATGTGCTTTTCACTACAATAAAAATAGGTACATAGATCTTAAATTGTCAGTGGCCTTTGAGAGAGTGGAGAGGTAAACACAGGCAAAACACATCGTCTTGAATGAAAAGATACTCGGAACCCTAAATGTGAAATTAACTAGACAAATATTTCTCACTTTTAATTTCACGTTTTTTTTTCCTTTGAGACAGGGTCTCGCTCTGTCTCCCAGGCTGGAGTGCAGTGGTGTGATCTCGGCTCACTGCAGCCTTGACCACCCAGGCTCAGGCGATCCTCCTGCCTCAGCCTCCCAAGTAGCCGGGACCACAGGCACGCGCCACCACGTCTGGCAAATGTCCGTAATTTTGTAGAGACGGGGCCTCACTTTGTTGCTCAGGTTGTTCTTAAACTTCTGAGCTCAAGTGATCTGCTCACCTTGGCTTCCCAAAGTGCTGGGATTACAGGTGTGAACCACCTTGGCCGGCTAATTCCACATTTCAATGTTAAAACAGTATTTTAAATTTAACACTCTTTCTAAGAATATACAACAAAGATCAGCCATCCCTTTACGCTGCTGTTTTGCTGCTAGATATGGAGAACACACTCATCAGAATACACTCCAAAATCTGAACTAGCTTTGATGATGATAAAATTTAGAGTGTTTACCAGGTACTAGGCATGTGCTAAGCATTTTACACACACGTACCTCATCTAGTCCACACAATGGCCCAGGAGGCTGAGAACTGACCTGTGAGCCTCTGAAGGCAGACACCTTGCATCTCAACCAGGCCTGCCATCTGGCCAGAATGAATGAGGAAATGAAACAGTTTGTACTATAGTCCCCAGCTTAGCTGAGCACACACGGAGACATAGGAAGGCTAGGAAGCTTTCCTAGGCCACCTGGGTATTTGGTGGCTGAGCTGGGCATTTGCTCCAAGTCCAGCTCTTGAACTTCTCTGGGAAATGTATTGTTCCTTGAAACCAAACTGCAGAAGTGCTATCAGATTTCAGGGACTAAAATTAGAAACTCAAACCCCTTCAGAACCTTCCCTGTCTCCCAATCTCTATTTCTTCCAGTGTGACTTTCTTCTCGAGCCTGCTTAGCTTTGGATGTAAGGTGCGTTCAGGATGGTAGGCCCCAGATGCCGGCCGTAGTGTGGTAGTGTGGCTTTCTTCTCAAGGCTACCACTCGGTCACCAGCAGCTCCTGAGTTCACAGTTCTCCTATAGATCCCAAGAGTGGAACCAGTCTCCTCATTTTTTTTTTTTTTTTTTTTGAGACGGAGTCTCGCTCTGTTGCCCAGGCTGGAGTGCAGTGGCGCGATCTCGGCTCACTGCAACCCCTGCCTCCCAGGTTCACGCCATTCTCCTGCCTCAGCCTCCCAAGCAGCTGGGACTACAGGCATCCACCACCACGCCCAGCTACGTTTTTGTATTTTCAGTAGAGACGGGGATTCACCGTGTTAACCAGGATGGTCTCGATCTCCTGACCTCGTGATCCACCGGCCTCGGCCTCCCAGAGTGCTGGGATTACAGGCGTGGGCCACCGTGCCTGGCCATTCTCCTCATTTTAAGACACGTACTATCTCAGAACAGGATTCACACTGGCCCCGCTTGGGTAACATGACTACCAGCTTCTCTACTGACTGGCCATAGTGACCCCGGACAAGTTAAGTTACCGCTTGTTAAATGAGGACAGTAACAGTGGTTCCCTGAGTGACTTTGTGATGATCGAATGAGCTAATATGTGTAATACACTTAGAATGGCATGTATGTGCTCATAAACCTTAGGGAACAATCCATTTTCATAATTCTCACTGCACATTTCTTTTTCATTTAAACATTTTTCATAAATCTTTGTGGTGGTTCCAAGCAAAAAAAGTTTTTCTGTGAAACTGTCACTATTGCCAGCTTTGGAGTTTGAATTATATGACCCTTTGTGGTCCTGGCCACAAAGCCAAGGCATTGACATAAAAGAAGTGCTGGGCTAGTGGTACAAGGGACATATCCAGGTTATTCAGGTTCTTACATAGATCCAGGCTCAACATGAGCTCATAACTCCTGGTCATAAAATTCTCACAGAAACAATCCACCAAGTGTAAGAATCAGTCCACGCCACGAAAAGCAGAATCAGACCATCAAAAAGTTCACATAATGAAACTATTGACTAGAAACTTAAAAATAAATATTTCTGAAATGATTAAAAACAAAGAAGAGGCTTGGCGCAGTGGCTCATGCCTGTAATCCCAGCACTTTGGGAGGCTGAGGCAGGTGGATTGCTTGAGTGTCAGGAGTTCGAGACCAGCCTGGGCAACATGGGGAAACCCTGTCTTTACAAAAAATTTTAAAAATTAGCTGGGCGTGGTGTTGCACGCCTGTAATCCCAGGTACTTGGGAGGCTGAGGCAGGAGAATCGCTTAAACCCAGGAGGCAAAGATTGTAGTGAGCCAAGACTGCAACATTGCAACATTGCACCCTAGCCTGGGTGACAGAGCGAGACCCTGTCTCAATAATAAATAAATAAATAAAGTCTAAAGGATGTACTTAGGAAAAAGAAAATTGAACCTAGAAGGAAAGAATGAGAGGCAAGAAGGCCGGGCACGGTGGCTCACACCTGCAATACCAGCACTTTGGGAGGCTGAGGCGGGTGGATCACCTGGGGTCAGGAGTTCAAATCCAGACTGGCCAACGTGGTGAAACCCCATCTCTACTAAAAATACAAAAATTAGCAGGGTGTGGTGGCGAGTGCCTGTAATCTCAGTTACTTGGGAGGCTGAGGCAGGAGAATTCCTTGAACCTGGGAGGCAGAGGTTGCAGTGAGCTGAGACCCAGCCAGTGCACTTCAGCCTGGGCAACAAGAGTGGAACTGGGACTCAGAAACAAAACAAAACAAAACAAAACAAAACTGGTTAACATGTAACTAAGTCTAAACAAGCATTTATTTTCCGACAGGGTTAGTAATAACAGAGATGACTAATTTGGAGATAACAACATGGACAAAAACCTATATAGGATGAGAGGAGCGATTGGAGGTTAAGTATTCTAAATTCTTTTTATTACACAGAAGGAAGATAGAGATACTAATTAACTTTAGACTTTGTTAATTACGCATGTGCAAAGTTTAAGTGTATTTATAAAAATGACAGAAAGAGAATGCATAACTTCCAAACCAATGGGAGCTGGAGGAAAGGAGAATAAAGAAAACTTGATCAATCCAATAGAGGCAGAAAGAGAAAAAAGAAGCAGAGGAAAAAAGTACAAATGGCGTGAAATAAGATGGTAAAAATCAGTTAAAGTATATCATTAATCACAATATACATACTTTTAAAAATTAAAAATTGTCAGACTGGGTTTAAAAAAATCTAGCTGTACATACTATTTAGGAAGCACACTGAATATAAAGACAGAAAGGATAAAAGGAAAATGATGGAAAGAGATATGAGGCCATGAAGAAGTGTGTTGTAGCTATATTAACTGTCGGAAAAAATAAAATTAAGACAAAAAGCTCAATTAGAGATAAAGAGCGGCCTCACATAATGATAAAAAGATGAATTTATCAGGAAGCTGTAATAATTTTAAACTTGTTAGCATTTAATGACAAAGCCATAAAGTATATGAAACCAAAATTGGCAAAATTTCAAGAAGAGACTGACAAAGCCACTGTCACAGCAGAGATTTGAACACATCTGTCTCAGTAATTTATAAATCAAACAGACAAAATATTAGAAAGTACACAGAACATGTGAATAAAACAAGCTTGATCTAATGGAGTTATATGTGAATATAATGAATACATATGAATTAATATGTACCATAGATATGAATTATTGATTCATATATATGAATCAATACATATGATATAGATGATATCAATATATATGATAAGAATAGAAATACCTGTATCCAACAATTCCTACTGAATAAATAGGAAACTTTTACAAAAATGGACCATGTAGGATACAAAGAAAGGGTCTTTGTAGACCCTCAAAATATCAGTATTATCCAGATCCTTCTCTGACCATATATAATAAAATATCAATAACCAAGGGTTAGTCTTCTCCCAACAAAAAACAATATGCATTTGAAAATATAAATAAGCATACTTTTCAGCAATTCCCAAGCCAAAATAGATAATTGGTATTAGAAAATCAGAACAAAATGTCCAGGCGCAGTGGCTCATGCCTGTAATCCCAGCAGTTTGGGATGCTGAGGCGGGTGGATTACCTGAGGTCAGGAGTTCAGGACCAGCCTGGCCAACATAGTGAAACCATCTCTACTAAAAAATACAAAAATTAGCTGGGCATGGTGGTGGACACCTGTAATCCCAGCTACTCGGGAGGCTGAGACAGAATTGTTTGAACTCAGGAGGCAGAGGTTGCAGTGAGCTGAGATCGCACCACTGCACTCCAGCCTGGGCGACAGAACGAGGCTCCATCTCAAAAAAAAAAAAAAAAAAAAAAAAAGAAATTCAGAACAAAACTAAATGAAAATACTACTTATCAAGAATTAAGGGAACAGGTGTGTGACTGTAGTCTCGACTACCTGGGAGGCTGAGGCAGGAGGACGGCTTGAGCCCTGGAGTGGGAAAGTGGGAGGCTGCAGTGAGCTATGATCCTACCAGCCTAGGCAACAGAGTGATACTGTGTCCAAAAAAAAAAAAAAAAAAAAAAAAGGCTGGTCCGAGTGCAGCGGCGTTTACAGCTAATTGATCACAACCAGCCAGTTACTTGTTCCTTCTTCACTCTCACTGTTTCACTTGACTAGTTTTAAAAAGTAAAAAAAAAAAAAAATTTAAAGGAAAGCTTAAGGGACATAATGAAAGTGGTACTTGGAAATTCATAGGTTTATGAAGAAACACTGAAAAAAAGACAAAAGAGAAACACTGAAAATTAATGAGCATCCAGCTCAATTTAGAAAAAGAATCAGGCTGGGCGTGGTGGCTCACGCCTGTAATCCAGCACTTTGGGAGGCCAGGACAGGCAGATCGTGAGGTCAGGAGTTCGAGACCAGCCTGACCAACATAGTGAAATCCCCGTCTCTACTGAAAATACAAAAATTAACTGGGTGTGGTCATGGGTGCCTGTAATCCCAGCTACTCAGGAGGCTCAGGCAGGTGAATCGCTTGAACCCGGGAGGTGGAGGTTGCAGCGAGCCGAGATTGCACCACTGCACTCCAGCCTGGACGACAGAGCGACTCCGTCTCAAAAAAAAAAAAAGAAAAAGAAAAAGAAAAATAATCATAAAACTCAAAAAAGTAAAGAAATAAACATAAGAACAGAATAAAATAGAAAACAGAGATGATCAAAAAAGGAAAAGCTAATTATTTAGAAATAGATTTGTATTCCTAGAAAAATAAAACTTAAGTAAGATTCAAGATAAAATGGAACCTAAATACACCTATAGATATTCAATAACTAGATGCAATAAAAACTCTACTCCCTGCAAATACTGTGTATTCAAGGATGGCTGCCTTACACAAGCTGGTCTGGAGTCTGGGAGAGGGACTGATCTGCAGAGGGGAAGTTGGGTGTGGACTTGTAGATGGAGGCTGGTGTGCTGACCCGCCACACAGCGGGAGCACTGCCACGCATCAGGCTGTGCCAGGGGCTTGGACACTTCAGTGGACCAAACCGGCAAAGGTCAATCTCCACTGGGTGCCTATATTTTGGCAGGGAAAGAAAGACACTAAAGCACAAATAAGTGAGTCAGAGTATGCTAGAAGGGCCTCAGGAGGAAGGCAGGGGACCAGAGTGAGGCAGTGGAGCAGTGTGGGGCCAGGCAGGCCCACCTGGGAGAGGAAGGTGGAGGGGATGGCCTGGGAGCAGAGGGTCCTCTCCCGAGGTGTGGAAACCAAGGGAGGTGAAGGTTCTGGGGAAGTCAGGTGGGACAGGACAGAAACGTGCCTGCGGGGTGAGCAGCACAGGTGCTGGTGTCACCTTTGGGAATCTTTTCCAGGGAAGTGGTCACCCAGGGTTTGTGGGCTGAGCGAGAGGGAGGGTAGGGAGTGAGTGAGAGGGGCCGGGGGAGCGATAGTGAGGGGTCGGGAGGGGACAGCTCTGAGTGCAGCTGAAGTGAGGCCAACAGCTCTGATA
Organism: Homo sapiens; assembly: GCF_000001405.40. Lineage (NCBI taxonomy): Eukaryota > Metazoa > Chordata > Mammalia > Primates > Hominidae > Homo > Homo sapiens. The sequence continues at coordinate 7,318 of NW_015148969.2, forward strand.
AGAGAGAAGCCAGCAGTGGGCAAACGCAGGCCCACCTGAGGTCCTGAAGGTGGGTGGGGGTGTGAGCCCCCTTGCTGGAGAGTGTATTAAGATAGGAGGGCCGAGGTTTGGGGGGTGTCACAGGAAGTGCTGAGGCAGGGAGGGCCCTTGCAGTGGCCTCAGCCTGGGGTGGCAGCGGGGCAGTGGGCTGGGGTCCATCCAGGGGTTGGTTTGCACCCAGCACTATTCTGGGTGCTTTGCCCACATGAGCTCTCCCAGACCTTGTGAGGCCTATTTGTGTCTGAATGTGTGTGGGGGCAGGTGGGGAAGAAGTGGGGATGGTGAGAAGGACAGATCTTTCTAGAATTTTGGCCCTGTTGGAAGGAAGGAAAACCCTAGGGGCCATGGTGTCCTGTAAATCCCCACCTTCCAGGTCAGAGATGGGAGAGAAGAGGGGGTAGACCTGGGCCCAGGGTGGCCCTGCCTGGCCGGTGGGGTCTGGTGGGCCAGAGGGAGGGTCCTCAGGAAGCTTGGGGAGGCCGTGGGGAACCTGGGGATTATTCTCAACAAAGTAAGGGGCAAAGACATCCTGTGTCCCTTGGCTTCCTCTCCAGGAACCCCCCCGGAGCCCAGAGGACGTCATGTGTGTGAGTGCTTGTGGGTATTGTTATTTTTGCTGTTTGCCGGGGTGGCGGTGGAGCTGGGGAGTGACTCAGGCTTGGACTCTTTTCACGATGTGAGCATCATGCGTGCCAGGCACTGTGCAGAACCCAGGCTCAGGGCGGCACTGGGCAGGGGCTACGGTGTTGCCCCGGGCAGTGGGTCTTTGACCCAGCTGAGTCTGGGGACCATCAATCTGTGGGCTGCTGGTTGGTGAAGATGTGAGATTTTCTCTCAAAATGCTCAGTGGCCACAGCCCCAGTGCTGGCCTGGGGTGGCTGGATTCACCTGGGCTGGTGGGTTGGCAGGAGGCGGCTGGTGGGGCCCAGAGGTCCAGTCTAAGGGTCGGAGGAGTGCCGGCCAGGGTCTCTGGGTCCACCCAGCCGAGGGCAGGCTTGCAGGGAGACACCAAGGGAGAGGGAGGAGGCCCAGGGCTGTGGAAGACCTGGCTGCGGAGAGTCCATCACTGGTGGACTGGGAGGCCCCATCCACCACCTTCTGCTGGCCACAGTGGGATGAAGGGCCGGCACCTGGGAGCAAAGGCAGGTGGAGGTTGCGGTGGGAGGGACGGCAAGGAAGGTTAGGGTTAGGGCTGAAGGAGGGGTTGGGAGGGAGTTGGGGGCCTGGGTGACAGCGGGGGGAGAGACATGGGCAGGAAGACGGTGGAGACACGAGGTGGGCCGGGAAGCACTGGTTTCCTCTCTCCAGGGCTGGGCCACAGGAAATCCAGCCCTCGTGCCTTCCAAGGTGCTTCCTGCCGATACGGGAGCCTCCAGGGCCCCTTCCTGCTCCCTGCTCCCGGGACCCCCACCCCTCCCATCCTGCCCCCTCCCCTGGGAGACCCTCAGCTGCACCACTCAGGCCAGGCCAGTGGCCTTGGGAGGGGCCTGTGATGCTGGGACCACAGTTCCTGGGCAGGGAGCAACCGTCTAGGCGTGGGGAGAACGCAGGACGTGACCCACACACCGCACTGGAGGCTCCGCTCTGCCCGGTCAGTGGCGTCCTGGGGAGGCGGGAGGAGGAAGCCAGACTGGTCCCAGGGAAGTGAGGCCCTGCTCTGGGGTTGACCAGAGGCTGTTTTGAGGGGAGAGGGCTCATCAGAAACACTCTGTCAGGGGTGCTCTGGGGTGAGCAGGTGCTGGTCGAGGTGGATCTGCTGGGGAGTGGGGGCTGTCCTTGGAGGGAGTGCCAAGCTCTGTTCTGTGTGGGTCAGGGTGTTTAGGATGGTCCAGGTTGTCACGCGGGGGAGGGTAGGGAGGTTTTTCTGCGTGTATGGGGGCCGGAGCAGTTCAAGGTTATTCCTGGGAGGCTCAGGCAAAATCCGTTTTGTGGGTGATCTGGAGCTGCTCTTGGGGAGGCTGGGGGTTAGAGGCTGTTTTCCTCCTTAGGCAGAGGGGTTCCCCAGGCTGGGCTCTTCTGTGAACGTTCTCAAGCTCTGCCCTCAGGGGGCCAGCGGCTCCTCTAGGAGGATCTGGGGCTGCTTGGGGGCGGAGGAGGGGGGTGGGGAACGCCAGGCAAAGCGGGTTGGGAGAGTTCTGCAGGAGGCGGAACTATTTCGACTTAGGGGCTGCTCTTGGGGGCACAGGGGCTCGCAGTGCAGGACAGTTCCGAGAGGCCGCTCAGGGCTGGGGGGCCTGGTGCACCCCGATGGGGCGGCGGTGCCTGAGCTCGTTTCTTTACTGAGCTCCCCCCTCCTCCGCCCACTCATCACCCCCTCCCGCGTTGCCACGACAACGCGTAAAACTAAAATTCACTTCCCAGTCGCAGGTGGAGACTAGTAGCGCCCCCTCCCCTAGGCCCTTCCCCGTAGGTCGCGCCCCCATCCCGCCGTCGCTAAGGTGACGGGGAGGGGGCGACAGGCGTTGGATCCGGACCGGCCAGGGGTCCTTGGGGGGAAGTCCGGAGCAAACTCCCCAAACTAGGCTGGCGTGGGGGAGCCGCGCCGAACACGCCAGGGCGCGGTCGAAAGGGTTAATTCGGAGGGCCTCTCGCCGAGGCGGTGGGAAGGGCCCCGGGCCCTCCCCGGTCTGGAGGTCCCCGTGGTCCGACCCCCAGGCCTGGGGCGGGGGGAGGTCCCCGCCATCTCCTCCAGGCCCGAAGCTGGGGGTCGGTGGAGTGGGGGGGAGAAGCCGCCACCTCCGGAAATTAATTGTTTTTCTTTCCCCTTCTCGCCCTACCTTGGTCTTCGTGCCCCGACGCGGCCCCCACCCCAGCTCCGGGACCCCTTCCTCCGCCGCACCCGCCCCGGTGGTCCGCGGATGCCCGCCCTTGCCGCTCAGCCACTCCCCCCGCACCGAGGCCTAGGACTCCCCCCCCCAACCCCGTCACAGCCCCCCAGACCCCCGCCCCGTGGCTCGGCCCCCGCCCTCCGCACACACCTCCCGCCCCCACCCGGGACCCCGCAAGTAACCCCCCAGCACTGGCCCTGAGCCCTCCCGGCCCCCGCCTCCGGCGCAGCCCCCTCGCCACCCCCGCTTCCCTCCCGTCTCAGGCCCCCTCCCCCCGCCGCCCCCGCCCCCGGGGAAGGCAGGCGCCGAGCTGAGCCGGGGCCGATGCAGCTGAGCCGCGCCGCCGCCGCCGCCGCCGCCGCCCCTGCGGAGCCCCCGGAGCCGCTGTCCCCCGCGCCGGCCCCGGCCCCGGCCCCCCCCGGCCCCCTCCCGCGCAGCGCGGCCGACGGGGCTCCGGCGGGGGGGAAGGGGGGGCCGGGGCGCCGCGCGGAGTCCCCGGGCGCTCCGTTCCCCGGCGCGAGCGGCCCCGGCCCGGGCCCCGGCGCGGGGATGGACGGCCCCGGGGCCAGCGCCGTGGTCGTGCGCGTCGGCATCCCGGACCTGCAGCAGACGGTGAGCCCCGCCGCCCTGGGCCCGGCCGTGCCCCTGCGCTCCCCGCCCGGGATTCCCCCACCCCCGCCGGGCGCGCCCGGCGCCCGGGACCCCCGGCCCACGGCTACTCACCCCTCCCCCGCCGCCTCCGCCGGGACCCTCCCCATCGCCAGGGCGGGGCCCCGGGAAGCCCGGCCCCTGGGGCGGGGCTTCGGCCGCGGTTCGCGGAGGCGCGGGGTCCCGGGCGCCGGCACCCGAGCCCCGGACTCCTTCGGCGGGGGCCCGGGGCTCGGCACCCCGCATGGGGCCGGCGGGGCGGGTCCGCGCTCCCGGGACCTGAGCTCACGAGCCCGCTCCGCTGCAGAAGTGCCTGCGCCTGGACCCGGCCGCGCCCGTGTGGGCCGCCAAGCAGCGCGTGCTCTGCGCCCTCAACCACAGCCTCCAGGACGCGCTCAACTATGGGCTTTTCCAGCCGCCCTCCCGGGGCCGCGCCGGCAAGTTCCTGGATGAGGAGCGGCTCCTGCAGGAGTACCCGCCCAACCTGGACACGCCCCTGCCCTACCTGGAGGTAAGTGGCCGGCGCGGGGGTGAGCTGAGGAGCGCGCAGGGTGGATCACCAAGCCCCGTGGCGGGACCAGTGAAGGGCACGGCAGTGGGGAAACACAAGTGGGAGGGGTGAGGGGTGGAGGCTGTGTGTGTGTGTGTGTGTGTGTGTGTGTGTGTGTGTGGTGCTGTGTGCAGAGTGCAGTGAGCGTGTACAGGGTGCAGCGAGCGGACACAGTGTATGCGATGAGTAGGCGCGGTGTGTGCAGTGAGCGGGCAGGGCGAGCAGTAAGGATGTACAGTGTGGGCAGTGTGCGAGCATGTGTAGTGAGCAGGCAGTGTGTGCAGTTAGCAGGCACAGTGTGTGCAGTGAGTGGGCAGTGTGCACAGCATGTACAGTGTGAGTGGTGTGTGCTGTGTGCCGTGAGCATGTGTAGTGAGTGGGCACAGTGCAGTCAGTGTGCACAAAGTATGCAGTGGGCACGTACCGTGTGTGCAGTGAGTGGTGTGCAGTGTGTAGTGTGCAGTGAGCAGTGTGTACAGCATTGCAGTGTGGGGCAGTGAGTACAGTGTGAGTGTTGTGATTGTGGTAAGCAGGATGCGCAGTATACAGTGAACAGTGTGCACAGTGTGTGCAGTGTGGGCTGTGTGCCACAGAGTCAGTGTGGTGTGTGTAGTTTGAACAGTGTGTGCATTGAGCAGCATGGATGGTGTGGACGCTGAGCATTGTTCTCCAGGGAGGAGTGTGAGCACGAGAGAGTGCCAGAGGGGTGTGTGGTGTGAGCAGGGCTATCTGTGTGCACGTTTGTTCCTTTCTCCAGCTGTGAAGTCTTGTGAAGGCCAACCAAGTCCCCTCCTTTACTCACCCATGCATGGTGTGAAGATGTATTGAGTGCCTTGCTAGGCATGGGGACGTAGACGGGGTCAGTCCTGTGGAAGGTCTTGGAGTTTGGCAGGGTGGAGGGGGGTGCCCAACTGCAGTGGGCATTGAATAAAGATTTTGTGAGCTGAGCTCAAAGTTGGGCGGGCCTCCGTGGTGGCACAGGAAAGTGGGGTCAGTTCTACCTGGAGAGTGGAGGGGGATGTCTAGGATGGTAAGCCTGGAATCAGGCCTTCAGAGAGGAGTGGGATTTTGCCGAGAATCCTGGGGATGGGAAGGCGACGGGACAGTGCAGGCTGCGGGCAGCTAGGCACGTGCCTTCCATCGGGCTGCATCATGCCTGAGTGTGGTGGGTGCATGGCAGCTGTTAGCTCTGTCCACTGTGGTAGTATGACTGATGGTGTGTACAGGAGGGCAGTGAGGGGTGCGGTGTGGCCAGCATGAGCGGGACGGGGTTTGTGCATGGACTCACTTGCTCAGCCGGGGTGGGGGCATTTTCTCTACCTTTTCTTTATCTGAGCAGTTTCGATACAAGCGGCGAGTTTATGCCCAGAACCTCATCGATGATAAGCAGTTTGCAAAGCTTCACACAAAGGTAAAGGATCACGGGGAGGGGGCTCCTGAGGTTCCCTCCTGCCTCCCTGTGGCTGCTGTCCCCCACCCCAGCTTGGGGCTGACCACAGTCCCCCAGCTTTAGCTCAGTCCATTTCCCCATCATCAGGGGCCCAGAGCCTGTACTGGGTGTGGCTGAAGGGCTGGGCACAGATTCCTGGCCCCATGGTTGGGGTCAGGTGGTACAGTGATGTGTTCCAGTTAGATCAGACTCTTGCCGACCCCCCTGGCTTAGGGGCTGGAGTGTCCTGTGAGAAGCTGGGTGGAGAGGGAGTGGACAAGCATCTGATGTGATGGCTGTCGGGACAAGGCACCCAGCATCGAGTGGTCGACCAGTGCTAGGCATTTGTGATTAGACCTCTCATTAATCCTCTTCCAGAGGGACTATTATAACCCTGTTTCACAGATGGGGACACAGAGTACCCGACTGTGTAGACAGTGAAGCTGGGGCTGAACCCAGATCTGTCTGATTCCAGGCCCTGTGCCCAGGCATGCCTTTGAGGTGTCTACTGCTGGGTGCCACCCCCAACTGGGCCTGACCCCAAATGCTCTTGAGGGGGGCACCTTACTATTTCCCGCTGAATGTCAGAGGGGCAGGGTGGGTGCCACAGCCCCTCCCCAGGGGCTTCCACCCGCAGCTCACAGTCCAGCAGGCACTTGTTTGCTGGATACTTTATGGGCGGTCTCGAGCTCAGGAGAGGGGTCAGAATGGAGGGTCTCTGGAACCCAGGAGAGGAATCAGAACTGTCAGCCCTGTGTCCTAATGGTCCCATCAGTGACTTTGGAGCCTCAGGCTTCTGTGCCAGGCTTTTCTGCTGCCCCAGGGCAGGCGGTGGTCAACGGCCTTGGCACTATGGCTGGGCAGAGTCCACTGTGGAAAGGTCCCCCTCTCCTGCCACTGGCCCTCACTTGACCTTGTCAGCCTGGGTTCCTACCCCATGGCCACCTCTCCCTCCGGATCTCTCTTCAGTGACCAACAAGACATGAGTGACTCACTCTGAAGTAGGTCTCGTTTGTTTTTAGGATGAGCCTGAACTTCTTACATAGCCCGTGTTTCTGCTTGCCTGGGCTCCAGCTGGCCTTTCCCTCTCCCCTGGTAGTGAGCACTTCCTCCTCTTTCACTGCCTGGCCCGCCTGAGGAGGTTGCCTCCCAAGGCAGGGGTCCCTATGGCACCCTCCCCTATTTCTGAGGTACACTGGGTGTTTATGGAAGGGCCCCGGCCTTTGGCCAGGGCACCTTGCCTTGTGTGTGTGGTGTCCGTAGTGCCGGCTGGGGAAGTGAGGCCTTGTGGGGTGAGTGAATAAACTGGGTGAATGAGTACAAGGCCATCAAAGTCATGTCACAGGATGGGTCCCTGGGGTGGGGGTCTGCGGTGGGGTGAGCTGGAGAGGAAGATGGGCCGAAGAAGGAGCAGGTTGTCTCAGGGTGCTGAGGATTCAGGGCTGCTGTGGGGCTGGTTCCTGCCTGGGTGGACCTCGGGCTCTTCTAGGCCAGGCAGGTCGGGGCAGCAGGGCCGGAGAGACGGAGCCAGGGCAGTGACTGGGCCTGGAGTGGGGGACTTGCTTGGGGCCCCACCAGGGTGACCTGGCCTTGGTGAGGGGCTACTTGGGTACAAGCTGACAGTCGTGACTGGTTTGGCTATCAGGGCGCAAGGAAGGGCTTTGAGCCGTGCATGGGCCCACCCGAGTGGGAATTGGGGCCGTGGTGGGAGTGCAGGACCGTGGTTGACAATTGTGATGTCAGGTGACAGGTCAGACTGGTAGGGATGTGGCGGGGGTTGCCTGAAGGTGGCCTGAGGCTTGCCGGAGGAAGGCGGGTGATGTTCAGATGATGGAGGCCTTGGTGCCAGGCTGACTGACGGCCGGTGTTCCAGGCGAACCTGAAGAAGTTCATGGACTACGTCCAGCTGCATAGCACGGACAAGGTGGCACGCCTGTTGGACAAGGGGCTGGACCCCAACTTCCATGACCCTGACTCAGGAGGTGAGGAGTGGAGTCGGGGAGGGGCATGGCCTTTGCGCGGCTGGGAGCCTGACCCTTATCTGTCTGTGAACCCAGAGTGCCCCCTGAGCCTCGCAGCCCAGCTGGACAACGCCACGGACCTGCTAAAGGTGCTGAAGAATGGTGGTGCCCACCTGGACTTCCGCACTCGCGATGGGCTCACTGCCGTGCACTGTGCCACACGCCAGCGGAATGCGGCAGCACTGACGGTCAGTGAGGGCGGGGCCTGGCCTGGAGGGGCTCTTGCCTGGTGATGGGGCTGGGGGCAGCTGGGCCTGGTGTGGATACTGAGGCTGCTCACCCTCAGACCCTGCTGGACCTGGGGGCTTCACCTGACTACAAGGACAGCCGCGGCTTGACACCCCTCTACCACAGCGCCCTGGGGGGTGGGGATGCCCTCTGCTGTGAGCTGCTTCTCCACGACCACGCTCAGCTGGGGATCACCGACGAGAATGGCTGGCAGGAGATCCACCAGGTGTGCAGGGAGCCGAGGTGGGGTCCCGGCCTCTGTGTGCTGGGTTGGGGGTCCTGGCTCTGTCTGTAGGGGTGGGGGCCCTAGCCTCTGCCCAGGGACCCTACAGCACCTTGCTCTTCCCCCAGGCCTGCCGCTTTGGGCACGTGCAGCATCTGGAGCACCTGCTGTTCTATGGGGCAGACATGGGGGCCCAGAACGCCTCGGGGAACACAGCCCTGCACATCTGTGCCCTCTACAACCAGGTGCGACTGTGTGTCCTGCACATGCCTGCACCAGCGAGTGTGCATATACTTGCCTCTTCTGGGGGTGTATGTGTGTGTGGGCACACAGGTGACCCTGTACGGTGATTGCATGTGTGCACCGAGTGTGGATATACTTGCCTGTTCTGGGGGTGTACGTGTGTTTGTGTGCACACAGGTGACCCTGTACAGTGATTGCATGCGTGCACCAGGGAGTGTGGATATACTTGCCTGTTCTGGGGTTGTACATGTGTGTGCACACAGATGACCCTGTACAGTGATTGTATGCGTGCACCAGTGAGTGTGGATATACTTGCCTGTTCTGGGGGTGTACGTGTGTTTGTGTGCACACAGGTGACCCTGTACAGTGATTGCATGTGTGCACCAGGGAGTGTGGATATACTTCCCTGTTCTGGGGGTGTACACGTGTGTTTGCACACAGATGACCCTGTACAGTGATTGCATGCGTGCACCAGGGAGTGTGGATATACTTGCCTGTTCTGGGGGTGTACACGTGTGTGTGCACACAGATGACCCTGTACAGTGATTGCATGCGTGCACCAGGTAGTGTGGATATACTTGCCTGTTCTGGGGGTGTACACGTGTGTTTGCACACAGATGACCTTGTACAGTGATTGCATGCGTGCACCAGGGAGTGTGGATATACTTGTCTGTTCTGGGGGTGTACACGTGTGTTTGCACACAGATGACCCTGTACAGTGATTGCATGCGTGCACCAGGGAGTGTGGATATACTTGCCTGTTCTGGGGGTGTACACGTGTGTTTGCACACAGGTGACCCTGTACAGTGATTGTACACGTGTACCAGGGAGTGTGGATATACTTGCCTGTTCTGGGGTTGTACGTGTGTGTGTGCACACAGATGACTCTGTACAGTGATTGCATGCGTGCACCAGGTAGTGTGGATATACTTGTCTGTTCTGGGGGTGTACACGTGTGTTTGCACACAGATGACCTTGTACAGTGATTGCATGCGTGCACCAGGGAGTGTGGATATACTTGCCTGTTCTGGGGGTGTACACGTGTGTTTGCACACAGGTGACCCTGTACAGTGATTGTACACGTGTACCAGGGAGTGTGGATATACTTGCCTGTTCTGGGGTTGTACGTGTGTGTGTGCACACAGATGACTCTGTACAGTGATTGCATGCGTGCACCAGGTAGTGTGGATATACTTGTCTGTTCTGGGGGTGTACACGTGTGTTTGCACACAGATGACCTTGTACAGTGATTGCATGCGTGCACCAGGGAGTGTGGATATACTTGCCTGTTCTGGGGGTGTACATGTGTGTGCACACAGATGACCCTGTACAGTGATTGCATGCGTGCACCAGGGAGTGTGGATATACTTGCCTGTTCTGGGGGTGTACATGTGTGTGCACACAGATGACCCTGTACAGTGATTGCATGCGTGCACCAGGGAGTGTGGATATACTTGCCTGTTCTGGGGGTGTACATGTGTGTGCACACAGATGACCCTGTACACTGATTGCATGCGTGCACCAGGGAGTGTGGATATACTTGCCTGTTCTGGTGTTGTACATGTGTGTGTGTGCACACAGATGACTCTACAGTGATTGTATGCGTGCAGCAGGTAGTGTGGATATACTTGCCTGTTCTGGGGGTGTACACGTGTGTTTGCACACAGATGACCCTGTACAGTGATTGTATGCGTGTACCAGGGAGTGTGGATATACTTGCCTGTTCTGGGGGTGTACATGTGTGTGCACACAGATGACCCTGTACAGTGATTGTATGCGTGCACCAGGTAGTGTGGATATACTTGCCTGTTCTGGGGGTGTACACGTGTGTTTGCACACAGATGACCCTGTACAGTGATTGCATGCGTGCACCAGGGAGTGTGGATATACTTGCCTGTTCTGGGGTTGTACATGTGTCTGTGTGCACACAGATGACTCTGTACAGTGATTGTATGCATGTACCAGTGAGTGTGGATATACTTGTCTGTTCTGGGGGTGTACGTGTGTTTGTGTGCACACAGGTGACCCTGTACAGTGATTGTACACGTGTACCAGGGAGTGTGGATATACTTGCCTGTTCTGGGGGTGTACGTGTGTTTGTGTGCACACAGGTGACCCTGTACAGTGATTGCATGCGTGCACCAGGGAGTGTGGATATACTTGCCTGTTCTGGGGGTGTACACGTGTGTGCACACAGATGACCCTGTACAGTGATTGTACACGTGTACCAGGGAGTGTGGATATACTTGCCTGTTCTGGGGGTGTACACGTGTGTTTGCACACAGATGACCCTGTACAGTGATTGTACACGTGTACCAGGGAGTGTGGATATACTTGCCTGTTCTGGGGGTGTACACGTGTGTGCACACAGATGACCCTGTACAGTGATTGTACGCGTGTACCAGGGAGTGTGGATATACTTGCCTGTTCTGGGGGTGTACACGTGTGTTTGCACACAGATGACCCTGTACAGTGATTGTACACGTGTACCAGGGAGTGTGGATATACTTGCCTGTTCTGGGGGTGTACATGTGTGTGCACACAGATGACCCTGTACAGTGATTGCATGCGTGCACTAGGGAGTGTGGATATACTTGCCTGTTCTGGGGGTGTACACATGTGTTTGCACACAGATGACCCTGTACAGTGATTGTACACGTGTATCAGGGAGTGTGGATATACTTGCCTGTTCTGGGGGTGTACACGTGTGTTTGCACACAGATGACCCTGTACAGTGATTGTACACGTGTACCAGGGAGTGTGGATATACTTGCCTGTTCTGGGGGTGTACATGTGTGTGCACACAGATGACCCTGTACAGTGATTGCATGCGTGCACCAGGGAGTGTGGATATACTTGCCTGTTCTGGGGGTGTACACGTGTGTGTGCACACAGGTGACCCTGTACAGTGATTGCATGCGTGCACCAGGGAGTGTGGATATACTTGCCTGTTCTGGGGGTGTACACGTGTGTGTGCACACAGGTGATCCTGTACAGTGATTGCATGCGTGCACCAGGGAGTGTGGATATAGTTGCCTGTTCTGGGGGTGTACATGTGTGTGCACACAGGTGACCCTGTACAGTGATTGCATGCGTGCACCAGGGAGTGTGGAAATACTTGCCTGTTCTGGGGGTGTACACGTGTGTGTGCACACAGATGACCCTGTACAGTGATTGTGTATGTGCATCCCTGCCTCTGTGCCATGGTATATATATGTGCTCTGTGTCCTGCAGTGAGTTGTGGCTGCAGCACAGCCTCATAGGCATATGTGTGCACATTTGTTCTCTGAACACACAGGGGCTTCACATGTGTGCACGTGTGTTCTGAATAACCAGGTATGAATTGGGTACATCTAGGCCCTCTGGGCCAGGTGAGACCTGAGCGTGTATACCTACTGGCTTGTCTCTGCAACTCAGGTGTACATGGAACAAATAGGTGTGAGTCCGTGTGTGTGAGCCTGTGCCCTGCGCACGCCATGTGTGCATTCCTGTGTGCGCATGTGCTGTTGTGCTCGGATGGTCTCTCCAGCCACCCAGCTGTGATTCCCTCTTCCCCGCAACAGGAGAGCTGTGCTCGTGTCCTGCTCTTCCGTGGAGCTAACAGGGATGTCCGCAACTACAACAGCCAGACAGCCTTCCAGGTACACCGGTGGTTTACAGGAGCTCAAGGCTGCCCCAGAGGTGTCTGTCTCTGTGTCCATGTGACTTGACTTCTCTGAACCTTGGTTCTTCCCTGGAAGGCCCTAAGGGAGCACCTCCCCCAGGACTGCCCACAGGAGGTGTTGGGGGACGAGCCCAGCACGCGAGGGGTATTTGGTGTTGATGTTCCCTTCGTCCCCTCGCCAGGGAGAGAGGAGGGTCAGCAGGGCTCTGGGGCAGGGGTATGGGGAAAATGAGAAGACTGGGGTGACAGGTGTGGGTCTGACCCCCCAACCCCGAGAGACCAGCAGGGGTGCAGAAGCCAAACTGCAGAGGGGGTGGAGAGGGGGTGGTGGAGGGGGTGGTGGAGAGTGGGGTGCTGGAGAGGGGGTGGTGGGGGGTGGGGGGCGGTGGAGAGGGGGATGGTGGAGAGGGGTGGTGGAGGGGGATGGTGGAGAGGGGGTGGTGGAGGGGTGGAGGGGGTGGTGGAGAGGGGTGGTGGAGGGAAGTGGTGGAGAGGGGGTGGTGGGGGTGGGGGCGGTGGAGAGGGGGTGGTAGAGAGGGGTGGGGTGGAGAGGGGGATGGTGGAGGGGGTGGTGGAGAGGGGTGGTGGAGGGGGATGGTGGAGGGGTGAGGTGGAGAGGGGTGGTGGAGGGGGTGGTGGAGGGGGATGGTGGAGGATGGTGGAGGGGGTGGTGGAGGGGATGGTGGAGAGGGGGTGGTGGAGGGGGGATGGTGGAGGGGGGTGGTGGAGAGGGGGGTGGTGGAGAGGGGTGTGATCCTAGCCGCTGATGTAATTCAGGGGAGGTTTCCGGGCCCTTTCTCTGGCCAGGTTGGTTGGCACTGATGACCAGGTGGACGTGGTCTCTGACTTGGAGTTTGTTGGGGAGTCGGGAATATTGTGGGGGTTTGCCGACCAGGAACAGAGCCAGAACTCCTCTATTTTCAGTAGGAGTGAGATGTGGGAAGAGTGGTCAGGCTGCTGAGGTTGTGTGGTCATAGAAGGTGGAGGCAGCAGTGGGCTGCCAGATGGGTTTGGGCACACTGGGAAGCAGATACGCCAGGGCCTGTTGGATGACTGGGTGCAGGGTCACAGGAAGGGGAGGATGAGCTTGGCAGCTTGGGCAGCTGCGGGGCCTTGGCTGAGATGGGAAACATGGCTGCATGTTGGGACAGACCAGTGTGCCCGTTTGCTTGGGACTGCTGGTTTTAGCTCTGAACTTCTGTCCAGGCAGCCCCTCAGTCCCAGGCAGACAGAGGGTGGGTCACTCCAGTTATAGGGTGTGCCTGTGGCATCCCAGTTACAGACAAGAGTGTGTGTCAGTAGAGAAGAGGAATGGGCTGGGGTCTCCGGGGCCCCCAACCAAGGAAGACTCCACACACGAACTGGAGAAGGAGCAGCTGGGGCTGGCTGGCGAGGCAAAGCTGGTGCTGCTCAGCCCCTCCCTGCTCCTCAAGGCCTTGACCTCCCCTTTCCCTCAGGTGGCCATCATCGCAGGGAACTTTGAGCTTGCAGAGGTTATCAAGACCCACAAAGACTCGGATGTTGGTGAGTTCTGCCCACCTGGGCGACCCTGCTGAATGTAGATTCGTGTGGTTTTCTGGGGCCCAGCAGATGTGGGGGTCAGTGGTGACATAAAGGGGCCCCACACCCCACATCTACACTGTGTGGCCAGTGGTCTCTGAGTGGCCACTGCGGGCATGAGGAACGGGCCACAGGGCCTGTGTTGAGTGAACATTGTTTTTGGTCTGGGAGAAGAGCATGGTGAGGTTTGGGCTGTGGGCCGGGGCTAGCATTCAGCTTAGGGGGCAGCATAGGTTGAGAGTGGGGTTGAAGTTAGGGTCAGAGTCCCTGTTTCCCGTTAAATCCTAGGAAGAGCCAGCAGGAGACATGGGGGTGGTGGACCTCACTTCACCCTGGAGCAAGCATGAGTCTCGGTGGTCCGTAGCAAGCTCTCAGCATGGAAAGATCATATAAACGACACATAAGGAAAACAACAGTGATGGGAAAGCAGAATGGGGCTGGGAATAGTGCCATAGCCATCCTCAGGGCAAGGAGCTCTGAGCCCCCTGCTGCCTGCGAGTAGAGGAAAGCCTGGTGTGTGCGTGACTCACGGTCCTGGAAGGAAAACCAGGAGACACACACGTGGCCTCAGCCAGGATACCCGAGCCTCTTGGAGGTCTCTGGTGGGTGTGGGGCCAGGCTGGGACCGTCCTGTTGTAGCTGCCGGAGTCCCCTCTGGGAGAGTTGTAGCTGCCGGAGTCCCCTCTGGGAGAGTTGCTGCTGGCCAGGCTGGGACCATCCTGTTGTAGCTGCCGGAGTCCCCTCTGGGAGAGTTGTAGCTGCCGGAGTCCCCTCTGGGAGAGTTGCTGCTGGCCAGGCTGGGACGGCCCTGTTGTAGCTGCCGGAGTCCCCTCTGGGAGAGTTGCTGCTGGCCAGGCTGGGACCGTCCTGTTGTAGCTGCCGGAGTCCCCTCTGGGAGAGTTGTAGCTGCCGGAGTCCCCTCTGGGAGAGTTGCTGCTGGCCAGGCTGGGATGGTCCTGTTGTAGCTGCCGGAGTCCCCTCTGGGAGAGTTGCTGCTGGCCAGGCTGGGACCATCCTGTTGTAGCTGCCGGAGTCCCCTCTGGGAGAGTTGCTGCTGGCCAGGCTGGGACGGTCCTGTTGTAGCTGCCGGAGTCCCCTCTGGGAGAGTTGCTGCTGGCCAGGCTGGGACCGTCCTGTTGTAGCTGCCGGAGTCCCCTCTGGGAGAGTTGCTGCTGGCCAGGCTGGGACGGTCTTGTTGTAGCTGCCGGAGTCCCCTCTGGGAGAGTTGCTGTTGGCCAGGCTGGGACCGTCCTGTTGTAGCTGCCGGAGTCCCCTCTGGGAGAGTTGTAGCTGCCGGAGTCCCCTCTGGGAGAGTTGCTGCTGGCCAGGCTGGGACCGTCCTGTTGTAGCTGCCGGAGTCCCCTCTGGGAGAGTTGCTGCTGGCCAGGCTGGGACCATCCTGTTGTAGCTGCCGGAGTCCCCTCTGGGAGAGTTGTAGCTGGCCAGGCTGGGACCGTCCTGTTGTAGCTGCCGGAGTCCCCTCTGGGAGAGTTGCTGCTGGCCAGGCTGGGACTGTCCTGTTGTAGCTGCCGGAGTCCCCTCTGGGAGAGTTGTAGCTGGCCAGGCTGGGACCGTCCTGTTGTAGCTGCCGGAGTCCCCTCTGGGAGAGTTGCTGCTGGCCAGGCTGGGACTGTCCTGTTGTAGCTGCCGGAGTCCCCTCTGGGAGAGTTGTAGCTGCCGGAGTCCCCTCTGGGAGAGTTGCTGCTGGCCAGGCTGGGACGGTCCTGTTGTAGCTGCCGGAGTCCCCTCTGGGAGAGTTGCTGCTGGCCAGGCTGGGACCATCCTGTTGTAGCTGCCGGAGTCCCCTCTGGGAGAGTTGTAGCTGGCCAGGCTGGGACCGTCCTGTTGTAGCTGCCGGAGTCCCCTCTGGGAGAGTTGCTGCTGGCCAGGCTGGGACTGTCCTGTTGTAGCTGCCGGAGTCCCCTCTGAGAGAGTTGTAGCTGGCCAGGCTGGGACCGTCCTGTTGTAGCTGCCGGAGTCCCCTCTGGGCGAGTTGCTGCTGGCCAGGCTGGGACGGTCCTGTTGTAGCTGCCAGAGTCCCCTCTGGGAGAGTTGCTGCTGGCCAGGCTGGGACCATCCTGTTGTAGCTGCCGGAGTCCCCTCTGGTGCCTGTGCCTCTCTCTGGTATATGGACTCCCAGGACCCCCTTCCTGCCATGAGTGTTTACTCGTGGGTGTCCCCATTTTTTGTTTTTGTTTTAATTTGAAGTGACAGCGGGCAGCAAACGTCTGGAGCAGATGTTAGGGTTGGACTCTCACTTGGTTCTAATGTGAGGTCATGGTCAGGGCTGGAGTTGAATTTTGGACTGGGGTTAAGATTAAGGTCGGTTTCATGTTTAAGGGCCCTTCTTCTGTAGAGTTCCCCCTGAACATCCCCCTGTAAGGCTTGGTTATGAGCCCCTCCACCCCAGGCTGTGTCAGTTGAACCATCTGAGGCTGTGGCAGACCCTCGGTGAATGCCACAGCTGCTCTCAAGGCCACTGCAGGGAAGTGTGTGTTGAGGAAGTAACTGGGCCAGTGGGATGGGTAGGATCGGAGTCCAGGGTCAGGTCAGGGGAGAACTGTGGTAAGGTTTGGGTTTGCATAAGGGGCAGCAGATAGTTACTTCTGGTTTGGGCTGGTGTTTTGGAGGTGGCCCTTAGTGTTGGAGGGCCCTGGTTTGTGCATGTGTGGGGCCTCTTCCTCTTTTTTTTTTTTTTTTTGAGATGGAGTCTGCCTATGTAGCCCAGGCAGGAGTGCAGTGGCGCGATCTTGGCTCACTGCAAGCTCCGCCTCCTGGGTTCTCACCATTCTCCTGCCTCAGCCTCCCGAGTAGCTGGGATTACAGGTGCCCACCATCATGCCTGGCTAATTTTCTGTATTTTAAGTAGAGACGGGGTTTCACCGTGTTAGCCAGG
The DNA here is from genome assembly GCF_000001405.40 of Homo sapiens. NCBI lineage: Eukaryota > Metazoa > Chordata > Mammalia > Primates > Hominidae > Homo > Homo sapiens. Next base: position 23,647 of record NW_015148969.2, read on the forward strand.
ATGGTCTTGATCTCCTGACCTCGTGATCCACCCGCCTCGGCTTCCCAAAGTGCTGGGATTACAGGCATGAGCCACTGTGCCCGGCCAGGGCCTCCTCTTCTGCCTATAATTGTCTAACCGTGGGAAAGCTGTCTGGGACCTCTGCGCCTCAGTTTCTCTTAAGTGAAACATGGTCTCTTATGGTCATTTGCATCCCCTTCCCCCTGTGGTGTCCTGTGGCGTTTGATCCTGGGTGGGGCTGGACTCTTGCCGGTGGCCTTGGTCTAGTTGCTTGGAGGGAGGGCGGGAAGGCCCCATCTGCCCCTCATCTGTGCGTTGTGGACAGATACCCCAGGGCTCTTGGAGTCACCATGGTTGCGACTTACTGGCTATCCAACCTAGGTGTGCTTGCTTGGTTGGAGTTAGACACACGTCCCTCAGTGGTAAGGAGCAGGCACCTGTGTCAGTTCATCCTGATGTGGTCGTCGGCTCCATGGGCCAACAACACCCTTACCTGATCAGGTGCCACACACAGACACTAGGGTGACACCGCCAGATTTCCCTGAGTACAGGCAGCATATTTGTCAGGATTTAATACAAGCCCCTTATCTCAATTTGCCCTCTCAACAACCCCCCAAGGAGTGATTAGACTGTTTTACGGAGAAGGAAACTGAGGCACAGAGGGGGTTAATTCAGACCTGATTGATTCAGGGTCTGCCTTTGTCACTCCCATGCCCTCCGTACACATTTGCTCCAAGGACAGGACAGTCATGACTTGCTACATCCTATGCCCACTGGGGTCCCAGAGTGGGGCCTGTACACAGAAGAGGAACTGGAAGGAGGTGCCGCCTTCTCTGGTGGGCAGGTGCCACCCGGTGGGATCTGGTAGACTGGGACCTGTGTAACCCTTCAGGCAACAGGATAGCTTGCTGCCTCTCGACAGCCTTGCTTGCCCCCTCTAGACTGACAGGCCTTGGGTGGGGTCCCTGGCCTGGGCGTGGAATGGGCATCCCACAGTGCTTTTGATGAGTACCTTGGGGAAATGCTTCTCCAGGGTGCTGTCATGCCCATGAGAACACACCTGTGCCTGGGAGTGTGTGCCTGAGAGAGGGTAAGAGACAATGTGGACCCAAAGAGTGACCCGACGTGACAGAGGCAAGGAAGCAGAGGTGACCACTTCTAGGCCAGAATGATTCAGTAGCGTTCTGTATATTCACGGTGTTGTGCAGCCGATTCTATTGAATTCAAAACATTTTCATCACCACAAAAGAAGACCCTGGACACATTAAGCAATAATTCTGCATCAATTACCCTCTCCCTCCAACTCTGTCAGCCATTAACACACTTTCGTCTCTGTGGACTATAGATTTACCTATTCTTGATATTTCATGTCAATGGAATCATATAATAAGTGACACTTAGTGTCTGGCTGCTTTTACTCAACATGTTTTTGAGCTTCACCTTGTAGGATATATCACTGCTTCATTCCTTCTTATGGCTGAATAATATTTCACTGTTGGTATAAATGACATTTTGTTTATGCATTCATCTGTCAATGGATATGTGGGTTTCTACCTTTTGACTGTTTTGAATATTGCTGCTGTCAACATGTGTGTACATGTACTTGTTTGAATATCTATTTTCAATCTCTTAGGTATATACCTAAGAATGGAATTTTGGAATCATATGATAATTCTATGTTTAACTTCTTGAGGAACTGCCAAACTGTTTTCCACCATTTTGCATTCCCACCAGTGATGTATGAGGCTTCCGGTTTTTTCACATCTTCACCAACAGTTGTTACTATCTTTTTTTTTTGACCGTAGCCATCCTAGTAAGTGTGAAATGGTATTTCATTGTGATTTTGACTTGTATTTCCCTAGTGACTAATGATGTTTTGCATCTTTTCATGTGCTTATTGGGCATTTGTATATCTTCTTTGGAGAAAAGTCAAGTCCTTTGTCCATTTTTAAATTGGGTCATTTATTTTTGTTGTTGAGTTGTAAGGGTTCTTTATATATTCTGAATACTAAACTTGTGTGGAATATGTGATTTGTAAATATTTTCTCTGTAGAATAGGAGATCCTTGTCACTTTTTTGATAATGTCCTTTGATGTACAAGAATTTTTAATTTTGATAAAGTTCAAGGTATCTATTTTTTTCTTTTGTTGTTCATGCTTTTGGTGTCATAGGTCACGAGGGTTTATCCTCTAGGTTTTCTTCTAAGAATTTTACGGTTTTCACTCTTAGGTCACTGATCCATTTTAAGTTTTAACTTCTGTTTATGGTGTGAGGTAGGGAGCCATCTTCATTATTTTGCATATGAATATCCAATTGTCCAGCACCATTTGTTGAAGAGACTATTCTTTTCCCATTGAATGGTCTTGGCACCCTTGTTGAAAATGAATTGATCCTAGATATGTGGGTTTATTTGGACTCTCAATTCTATCCCAGTGGTCTACATGTATATTCTTATGCCAGGACCACATGGTTTGATTACTGCAGCTTTGTAGTAACTTTTTATTTTTATTTTTTTGGAGATGGAGTTTTGCTCTTGTCACCCAGGCTGGAGTGCAATGGCGCAGTCTCAGCTCACTGCAACCTCCGCCTCCCAGGTTCAAGCAATTCTCCTGCCTCAGCCTCCAAAGTAGCTGGGATTACAGGTGTGTGCCACCATGCCCAGCTAAGTTTTGTATTATTAGTAGAGATGGGGTTTTACCATGTTGGGCAGGCTGGTCTCGAACTCTTGACCTCAGGTGATCCACCCGCCTCTGTCTCCCAAAGTGTTGGGATTACAGGCATGAGCCACTGCACCCGGAGTGTAGTAACTTTTGAAATCAGGAGGTTTGAGTGCTTCAACTTGTTCTTATTTGTTATCGTTTTGGCTAATCAGGGCCCCTGGCAATTCCATATAGACTTGAACATTGCTTTTCTATTTGTGCAAAAAGGGACATTGGAATTTTGCATTGAATCTGTCATCACTCTGGGTGACATTAACATTTTAACACCATTGTCTTCCAATTAATGAACATGGGATGTCCTTTTATTTATTTAGGTCATCTCTAAGCAGTGTTTTGTCATTTTCAGTATATAGATTTTTTTACTTCCTTAGTTAAATTTATTCTTGATTATTTTCTTCTTCTGGATGCTATTATAAATGGAATTATTTTCTTAATTTCCTTTTTGGATTGTTCATTGCTGGTGTGTAAAAACAAGTGATTTTTGTGTGCTGATCTTGTGCCCTACAACTTTGCTGAATTTGTTTATTAGCTCTAGTAGCTCTTTTGGTGTATTCTTTGGGATTTTCTACATATAGGATCATGCCATCTGCAAATAGAGATAGTTTTACTTCTTCCTTCCCAATTTGGGTGCCTTTTTTTTAATTTTTATTTTTGCCTGTCTAGAACTTTCAGTACGGTGTTGAATACCAGTAGTAAAAGCAGGCATCTTTGCCTTGTTCCTGATCTTAGGGGGAAAGCATTCAATCTTTCACCATTGTGTATGGTGCTATCTATGTGTGTTTTTTTTGTTTGTTTGTTTTTTGTTTTTTAAATATGGAATGCTTCATTAATTTGCATGTCATCCTTGTGCAGGGGACATGCTAATCTCTGAATCATTCTAATTTTAGTATATGTGCTGCAGAAGCAAGCACTTCGGATTTTTAATAAATTTCCTTTATTATGTTGAGGAAGTTACTAGCTTCTATTACTAGTTTCCTGAGTGTTTTTATAATGAAAGAGTGTTGGATTATGGCAGATGCTTTTTATGCATCAATTGAAATGATCATTTTTCCCCCTTTGTTCTATTAATGTGATGTATTATATTGATTACATTAGTCTGTAGATTTCTTTTCCTGCAATGCCCTTATCTGGCTTTGGTAGCAGGGTAATACTGGCCTCGTGAAATGAGGGAGTGTTCCCTCCTCTTCTGTTTTTTGGAAGAGTTTGAGAATTTGTGTCAATTCTTTAAATTTCTAGTAGAGTGCACCAGTGATGCCATCTGGTGGTGGACTTTTCTTCGTTGGGAGGCTTGTGGTTAAGGATTCAATCTCTTTGCTTGTTATAGGTCTGTTTAAATTTTCTGTTTCTTCTTGAGTCAGTTTTGGTAATTTGTGTTTTTCTAGAAATTTGTCTACCTCATCTAGCTTTTCTATTTGTTGGCATGTAATTGTTCATAGTGTTATATTCCTTTTTAACTTCTGTAACACTGATAGTAAGTCCCCAAATTTCATTTGTGATTTTAGTTATTTCTGTCCATCTTCTCTCCTTACTAGTCAATCTAGCCAAAGGTTTGTCAATTATGTTGATATTGTCAAAGAAACAACCTTTTATTTCCTTGATTCTCCGCTGTTTTTCTCTTTTGTTTATCTCTGCTCTAATCTTACTGTTTCCTTCCTTCTGCTAGCTTTTCTTTCTTTTGCTAGTTTGGTTTGCTCTTCTTTCTCTTGTTTTTTTGTTTGTTTCTTTTTGGTCTTTCTCTAGTCTGTCCGTCCCTCCGTCCCTCCCTCTCTTGCTTCCTTCCTCTTTATTTTGTTTGCTCTTCTTTCTCTAGTTTCTTCTTTTCTTCTCTCTCTTTTTTTTTTTGGAGATGGAGTTTCGCTCTTGTTGCCCAGGCTGTAGTGCAATGGTGTGATCTCAGCTCACCACAACCTCCGCCAACTGGGTTCAAGCGATTCTCCTGCCTCAGCCTCCCGAGTAGCTGGGATTACAGGGACCCACCACCATGCCTGGCTAATTTTGTATTTTTTAGAGGCAGAGTTTCTTCATGTTGGTCAGGCTGGTCTCGAACTCCCAACCTCAGGTGATCTGCCTGCCTCGGCCTCCCAAGTGCTGGGATTACAGGCATGAGCCACTGTGCCCGGCCTCTTTTCTTTTCTTTTATTGGTTCATTCATACAGACAAGGTCTCACTATGTTGCTAGGCTGGTCTTGAGCTCCTGGGCTGAAGTGATGCTCCCGCTTTGGCCTCCCAAAGTGCTGGGATTACAGGCATGAGCCACTGAGCCTCGCCTTCTCGTTTCTTTTTTGTTTCTTTTTTTTCGTGAGATGGAGTTTCACTCTTGGTGCCCAGGCGGTAGTGCAATGGCGCAATCTTGGCTCACCACCACCTCCGCCTCCTGGGTTCAAGCAATTCTCATGCCTCAGCCTCCTGAGTAGCTGGGATTACAGGCATGCACTGCCACACCCGGCCAATTTTTGTATTATTAGTAGAGACGGGGTTTCTCCATGTTGGTCAGGCTGGTTTCAAACTCCCGACCTCAAGTGATCTACCTGCCTTGGCCTCCCAAAGTGCTAGGATTACAGGCGTGAGCCACTGAACCCGGCCTTCTCTTGTTTCTTAAGATGTATAATTAGGTTATTGATTTGAGATTGTTTTCCTTTTTAAAAGTAAGTGTTTACAGCGTTGTTTCCCTTTAAGTACTGCTTTTGCTCCATATGTTGTATTTTTGTTCTTGTTTGTCTTAAAGTGTTTTCTAATTTTCCTTATGATTGATTTCTTTTTTCTCTTTCTTTCTTTTTTTTTTTTTAGAGATGGGATCTCACTCTATGGCCCAGGCTGGAGTGCCCTGGCTTGATTTTGGCTCACTGCAGCCTCAATCTCCTAGTCTCAAGCCATCCTCCCACCTCAGCTTCCTGAGTAGCTGTAACTACAGGGTGCAGCACCACACCTGGCTTTTTCTATTTTTTATAGAGATGGGGGTGTCACTATGTTGTCCAGGCTGGTCTCAAACTCCTGACTTCAAGTGATCCTCCTGCCTTGACCTCCCAAAGTGCTGGGATTATAGGCTTGAGCCACCATTTCTTTTTTGAGCCTGGTTTCTTTTTTGACACATTGGTTGCTTAGGAGTATGGTGTTTAATTTCCACATATTTGTGAATTTTCCAGTTTTCTTTCACTTCTCGATTTCTAGCTTTGTTTCGTTGTGGTTGAAAAAGATACTTTGTATGATTTCAGTCTTTTAAAACTTTATCAAGACTTGTTTTGCGGCCAAACATACAGTCTGTCTGGGAGAATGTTCCATGTGTACTCGAGAAGAATTCTTGAATATATTCTGCTCTTGTTGGGTGGCATGTTCTGTACGTATCGTTGAGTCTAATTGGTTTAAGTCTTCTATGTCCTTATTGATCTCTCCAGATGTTCTACCCATTATTGAAAGTAAGGTATTAAAGTTTCTTACTATTATTGTGGAACTGTCTATTTCTCTCTTAAATTGTGTTGTTTGTATCATATTTTGATGTTCTGTTGTTCGGTGTGTATATGTTAGTAATTGTTAATCAACATATAATGTCCTTCTCTGTCTCTTGTTACAGTTTTTATCTTAAAGTTTATTTTGTATGATGTTAATATAACCACCCAGCTCTCTTTTGGTTACTATTTACATTAGATTGCTTTTTTTATCCTTTCACTTTGAACCTATTTGTGTCTTTGGATTTAAAGTGATTATTTTGTAAGTAGCATATAGTTGGATAATACTTTTTAATCACTATCTGCTTTTTAAGTAAAATTCTATTGGAACACAAACACACCTATCTGCTTGTATGTTGTTTGTGGTGGTTTTCATGCTGCGGTGGCAGAGTTGAGTCATTGCAACACAGACTATATAGCTTGCAAAGCCTTAAGTAGTTACTGTCCAATTCTTTCCAGAAAAGGTTTGCTGATCCCTGGTCTAGAATGTCTTTTATAGTTTCCCTGGTTATAGTTAACTGCAAATGGTCCTGTTCAGCAGTAGTCTGGTGAGATTCGTCACATGTAGCCTGTTTTGTCTCTCCTGAAGCTTGTGAAATGCAGTTCTTAGAGCATATCTGAGCACCCTCAAGGCCCCTTTCGGCTGAGAGGAGAAGCAGGCTTCTACCTCTGAAGCTAGGGTGAGAGGCAGTTTGACTGGGATGTGGCCCCTTAATGGTAGCTTCATTTGTAGGGTGGCCAACTCTTTTGGTTTGCCTGGAACCAAGGCAGTTCCTGGAACATAGGATTTAGTTTTAACATCTGGAAAGCCTGGGCAAACTGGACAAGTTGGTCACCCAGCTGGCTGTTCAGAGTCTTACCTATGCCCCCTTACCCCAGTACCATTCAGGGAAACCCCCAGCTATGCGAAGCGGCGGCGACTGGCTGGCCCCAGTGGCTTGGCATCCCCTCGGCCTCTGCAGCGCTCAGCCAGCGATATCAACCTGAAGGGGGAGGCACAGCCAGCAGCTTCTCCTGGACCCTCGCTGAGAAGCCTCCCCCACCAGCTGCTGCTCCAGCGGCTGCAAGAGGAGAAAGATCGTGACCGGGATGCCGACCAGGAGAGCAACATCAGTGGCCCTTTAGCAGGCAGGGCCGGCCAAAGCAAGATCAGGTAGGAGGGGGCTGGCAGGCCCTGGAGGGGTTGGGAGGGTGGGGTGCCGGGACCTGAGCCAGGAGGAGCCAGCACCGGGAGGCAGAGAGAGGCCTGGTGGTGCATAGCACCTGTGTAGTGATGGGCTAGGGCTTCCTGGTTGGGGAAGGGAAGAAGGCATCTCTGGAGGTGGGGACAGGCACATGCACGCTGATTTCCGGTTGGAGCTGGGCTTGCCATGAGGACAGTGGGCAGTTGAGGGAGCGTGTTAGGTGGAGAGGGTATGCTCCTACCTGTGATTTAGAAAACACACTGCATTGTCAGGCATGGCTGGGAAGAGTCAGGGCTGGTGGCCTGTGGTAAGGGGGACAGGGATGGAGTTGCCACTCCAGTAGGGCCCAAAACCTACAGGTAAGCCCCAGCCCTGTCCCCAGGGTATACTCATGGTTTCCCCCAGCCCTGGCACACCTACAGGACTCTGTGGCTTCTATTCTTTACCCTCACCCTGAGGCCTGGGTCCCTGAGGCAGGGATGCCTGGACCGGAGCCCACTGGCCTCTCTGGGCTGTGCATTGGGTGCTGAGGTGGGCGCACTGGCTCTCAGCCACTTTGTGCCTGGGCTTCTCATCAGTAAGTGGGAATAGTCCTACCTAAGTCATTGTCTTTGGGAAGCCTTCCAGAATGCCCTGGGCAGGTGAGGGATCACCTGGCAGAGTCTGGCAACTGCCGGTAAAAGCACCTGCCCTCCCTGTGCCTTGAAGGCAGGCACCGTCTTTGTCGTTTCCTAGTTTCATCAGAGCCAGGCACTGAGGAGGGTGTTTGGCAGACATTGTTGAGTGGAAGAGTTACATAAACAGTATGTTGTTGTCAGGATGGCCGCCGGCCTTTACAGTTCTGTCAGTCCAGGCCCGCTGTTGGGCTGAATGGCATGTGTATACTAGCTCCTTTAACCTTGACGAACGTACATGTTCATGCTCTATTAATACCATGTTACAGATGAGCGTCCTGGTACGCAGGTGGGGCCTGTGACGGGTCCAGAGTCACAGAGCTACGGATCAGCTTCACTGGGCCCCAGGTAGACCCAATCCCCAACTTTCTAAGCCTGAGTGTTCAGCAGAGGGCTCAGGGTGCAGCAGGGCCTATGGAAGGCGCCCCTTCCTGTGCTGCCGCCCCTGCTCTGCAGCCTGGTCTCAGCGATGTCTCCGTGTCTGTCTTTGCCTGGGCTTGTTGGACTCGCAAGGCTGGCTGTACTGCCCCAAATCTCAATTCTCCCCTGAAGCTTTCTTATAGACCCGCGGATTTTCTAAGGGCTGGGCGGCCCAGTGGCTGAAAGAACACATTCTGCATTCCGGATGTTTCCATCCCGCAGAAAGGCTGCTCCTGAGTTGGAGGCACGCGTTGCCACAGGCTCCTCCCTGCATTCATTTTTTGTATGTGTTCATTCATCCTTTCAGCAGACACAAAACTAAGACCTGCTGTGTGAGGGGCTCCAGCTCACCTGCTCTGTGGGGATGGCAGAATTCTGTTTTTTCCTTCCTGGCAAACATTTATTGGGTGCCTGGTGCGTCAGAGGTGGTGGGTCTCAGGAAGTTGACAGCCGAGGGCCCGGGCTAAGCAGCAGTTAGGTGGGCAGTGATCCCCTTATGGGGCTGCCCTGGTGAGTGGACAAGGGTCTGCAGCTCTCGGGAGGGGCTGAGGAAGTTCGGTGCCCCGAGGAGAGAAGTCACCCCTGGGGGAGGCGAGGCTGGGCCCTGCACCGCGCGGGTCGCTGCGCCCTCTGTCGGCTGAGCCGGACCGGGACCCGACCCCCATCAGCCCCCCAGTATCACACGGGGCACGGCGGGGGAGTTTGGGCTGAGAGCCCGTCACTTAACAGCTGGCCCAGGGGTCAGGATGTTAGAGTAGTTCAGGTGTTGGCAACTGCGTGACGGACAGCCCACAGGAGGGGAAGGAGAGGTGCCCCGTGTGACTAGAGCGTAGCAAACTGCCAAGCCCCAGGGAGCCTGGCTCTTGGAAAAGCGGGTGGCTCTGGCCTGCCTGGGTACTAGGGAGCCACTGCAGGCTTCTGAGCAGAGCCCCAGTGGAGGAGCGAGAGCTCAGGCTCTACCCCAGTCTGGGAGTGGTCTGGGGAAGGTGGGCTTCACGCAGTGGGCGTGGGCAGGGGCCGGTGTCCAGGACGAGGGGACCCAGGCCTAGAGGGGGACTGGGCACCCAGCGATCCGGGCCCTGGACCTGGAGGGGTGGGGGGGGCGCCCCTCCCTCCCGTTCACCGGCTCCAGGCGGCTTTGCTGGTGCCCGAAGCCCCCGCCCCATCCCCCGCTCCCACTAGGCTGCCCTGACCACCGTCCCGCGTCCGCGTCCGAACTCCCCCTCCCGGGGGTCGGCGGCGAGGGGAGGGCGGGAGGGAGGGCGCGAGGGCCGCCACCACCGCCCGCAGAGGGAGGAGCCCGGCCGTGGAGGAGGCGGGGCGCGGGGCGGCCGCGGCATGGAGCGAGCCTGGCGCGCCCAGGAGCGCAGCCCCGCGGCCCCGGAGCCCTGAGCGGGCGCGGCTCGTGCGCTGGCGGGAGCGGGCCGGGCGCGGCGGCACGGCCCATGGAGCGGCTCCGGGCCGGGCCCCCGGCGGGCAGGCGGGCGGCGGGCGGCGGGCGGCGGGCGCTGCGGCGGCGGCTGCGGTGAGGCCGGCGGCGGGGCCGGGCCGCGCGCCATGGAGGCCCCGGGCGCCGGCTTCGCGTGCCCGCTGCCCCCCGGCATCGCGTCCGTCACCTACGTGTTCGTCTACAGCCCGAGCGGGCCCGGCGGCCCCGGCCCCGCGCCCGGCCCCGGCCCCGCGCCCCCTGCGCCCCCCGCACCGCCGCCCCGGGGCCCGAAGCGGAAACTTTACAGCGCCGTCCCCGGCCGCAAGTTCATCGCCGTGAAGGCGCACAGCCCGCAGGGTGAAGGCGAGATCCCGCTGCACCGCGGCGAGGCCGTGAAGGGTGAGGGGCGCGGGGGGGCGCGGGGGGCGGGCCCGGCGCGGGGAGGGGGCGGCGCCGCGCGCGGTGCTGGCCGGGCCGGGGCAGTGGCTCTGGGGTCTCCTCTGCCGGGGCGGCCCTGGGCCCTTGTGGGATCCCTGGTGTCACGGTGAAGGGCTCTGCCTGGGGAAGGTTCCTGCCGTGCGGGTCCCTCCGGTGCTCTGTCGTTCCGGGCTCCCTGTGTCACCACGGAGGCTCCTCTCTCGCCACGGGCGTTTCTGTGTCCCTGGGGGTCTCTGCCTGAAGGACCCTGTCCCATTACAGAGCTTCCTTGCATTGCGGGGTTCCCGTGGCACTTCTGCAGCTTCTCCATTGGAGGCCCCTGCGATGTGGGGGACCCTTGCCGTCGTGGGGTGTCTGTGACCGTCATGTGGGTGTTTGTGTTATGCAGGCTTCTGTCACCGGGGCTTCCTATGTTCTGGGGGGATCGCGTGCCATGACAAACCCCTCTCATTCTGGGGGTCTTGGGGCCATCACTGGGCTCCTAGCCTCAGGGCCGGCTGAGGTGGAAACAGCCCAGCTGGTGCATCACGTGGCCTCACCCACTGGCCACAGCACGATGACCCCGAGCTCTCGGCAGTGACCCCTGGGTGGGTGACAGAGCCAGGATGGGGGTCGGTTGAAGGGGCTGGGGGAGCATGGTCAGCTGGGGGTGGGGGCAGCAGCAGGAGTGTGGCCCCTGCCCCTGCCTGCGCCCCTCCCCGAGTGTGTCCATCTGTGTGTCTCTCTGTCCCCCACATGCCCACCCTGTGCCGAGCCCATCTGTTCCTTTCTCTCTTCTGCGTGGATCCCAAAATCTTCCCAGGGAAAAAGCTGGGAGAAAGTGGGAAGGGAAGGAGGGAAAGGGCAGGGGGTGGGTGGGCAGAACCTGCTCCTGAGGTGGGGTAGGCGCCCAGCTCTGCTCCCCACTGACAGCCTGTCTGGCTTCTTCCTCCAGTGCTCAGCATTGGGGAGGGCGGTTTCTGGGAGGGAACCGTGAAAGGCCGCACGGGCTGGTTCCCGGCCGACTGCGTGGAGGAAGTGCAGATGAGGCAGCATGACACACGGCCTGGTGAGTGACCCCACGGCCCCCCGGGCAGCTCCCAAGGGGACCACCCCTTCCAGTTTCCCTTTGTTCTCTCTTGGTGCTAAATCCACATGGATATTCATAGAGAAAAGACTAGAGGTAAACTCAAACAAACACTCAAAGTAGATGCAAACTTGTGTACATGACACAGACACGTGTGCACACACTCTGCATATACTTGGGAACATGCGTGTATGTAACCTGACGCTTCACGTGCAGTGGAGACACATAGGACGTGTGTGACGGGGCCTCTGTCTGTGTGATCCCACATTGACTCCCAGTGACTTGCACCCCACCAGCACAGTCCTTCAGAAACACCAGGTGTGTGGAACGCATGATTCCTGCGTAGCTGGCAGACATGTAAGGAGGTCAGTGTGAGAAAAGAGGCGTTTTTCCAAAGTGGACAGATTGTCCAAGTGGGCAGAGCAGGCAGGCCCGGAGCAGCCAAGAGGAAATGAGGCCAGTTGGGCCTGGAGGTGCCCTGGTGAGTGCCCTGGGGCAGGGATGGTCTGAGGGCAGCAGGTGAGGCTGGGCTGGTCCTCAGCCTGCAGGGAGGATGTGAAGGTGAAGGCTGCAGCTCCTGGGTTGGTGAGTGGCTGCTGTCCAGCCCTGCTGACCATCTGGTCCTTTGGGGGCCCCCGGGCTGGAGCTGGGTGCGTGTCTTGGGGGTGCCCTTGCAAGGAACCCTCAGGGGTCCCGGGAGGCCCCCAGATCCATGCATGTGCTTCTGTCCTGGAGAGCTGGTGGGCCAAGCAAACCTCTCCTGAGTGATGGTCACTGGGGGCCATCGGTGGTGTGTCTGGATCAAGGGTGCATGCACCCTCCCTCTGCATGTGAAGGGCTCAGGCCTGGGGTTACTGTGTCCCCATCTCTGTGTCCCCACCTCTGAGAGTTTCCCAGCGACTCCACCCCTGTACGGCCTGGACCCCTGCCCTGTGCTGAGCTCAGCAGAGGCCCAGGGAGGCAGGAGCTTCGCCACTGACCTTTTCCTGGGCCGGTGCCCTTTCCTCCTTCCTTGGCCTTGTTCTGCCTTGCTCTGACTGGTGGCTTAGAGTGTGGAAGGGACTTGGCCCCCTGTTCTCAGCCCGCGGAGGGTGGATAGGGCAGGGTCCAGATGGGAAATGGTTTCAGAGATTTGGGCCCTGGTTCAGACAGTATGGGAGAGGGGAGGGGAAGGAGAGGTAGGGGGATCCACACCTGTGGCGGGAGCGGGTCTTGAGCTCCCCCACGTGGTGGTGAGGAAGGTTCTGGTTTGAGGACTGTGTGGAGTGAGGGGCATTTGGACCTACGTCTGAAGCTGACGGGGAGGGAGGGGGGTTTAGGCTGGAGTCAGAATTGGAGAGCAGCAAATGTTTTTTAGGTGTTTGTCATGTGCTGGGCCCTGTGCTGGGAGCCGGGATCACGGAGGCTCAGCTGGAAGCCTTGTGGGAGCAGTGGCTGTGACGGGGGCCGTGTGAGCGTGGGAGCTCCCTGGGCTGGCCTGAAGGAGTCAGAGAGGGCCTCAAAGCAGAGGCATTGTCTGAGCTGAGTCCTCTAGGTGGTCAGCGGCTGGGGCTGAGGGGACAGCCGTGTGTGCAGGGTCCGTGTGGCGCTCTACAGCTGTGTGTCAGCACGGCCTGCTCTGAGTGCCTGGCACAGTTTTAGCACTTCTACACGTATAAGTCGTTGACTCATCCCAGCAGTCCCAAGAGGTGGGGCCACTTGTTGTTATTCCATTTCTAGGGGGTCACATGGCCCTGAGGGGCAAAGTCTTGTTTGCAACACAGGCAGCAAGTTCTATGTGAGTGAAACGCCTGCATGGGGTGAGGGGCGAGGCTGGTGTGGGGACCACGAGGGTGGTCAGGTGGCATGGAGTCAAGTGACAGTGTGGCATCATGGCGGAGGGAACCCAGCCGCAGTGTCTGATTGTGCAGGTTGTGTAGGATCAAAGCCTGGGCTGGGCAGAGCAGAGCAATGGAGAGGAGGGTTCAGGTCTGGGCTCCAGCCAGCAGCCATGGTGTGTGTGACCTGGGGAGTGAGTGTCAGAGGTCCCGGGGTAGACGGGAGTATTTCATGAGTGGGCAGCGGGAGAGGGACCTGCGGAGGCTGCCTGCGAAGGGCAGGGAGTGGGAGCAGTGACAGTGCCCTCTGACCTCGGCTGCAGGCCCTGCTGGCCACACTGCGCAGAGCCTCTGCTCTGGGATCCCGGGGCCGAGTTCTGCCAGAGGCCAGAGTGCAGCCCAGGAACAGGAACCTGCTTCCAACAGGCCCAGATCTGCTCCCCCCACCCCCCAAAAAAATCCATTTCCGGGACTGGAGTGGGGACAGAAAAGGACTTAAAGGTTAGGGAGGGGACATAGTCCCTGTGCGTGCAGGGGCTGGTGCCCAGAGCTGGTGCCTGCTGTGGGATTGGGAGGCGAGTCCTGGTCACTTACCCAGCAGAGAGCAGTCTCCCACGGCACCTCCTGGCAGGCAGAGGGTGGAGCTGTGAGGGAGGGAATGGAGAAGCGAGGTCAGGTGTGTTCTGGAGGCCCAGCAGGAGCAGGCCCTGTGCCTTCCCTCCCCTCCCTCCTTCCCTTTCTTTGCAGTAAGGTCAGCACTTGGGTGGGTAGTAGGAGATGGCTGTGTTGGGCATTTTCTCTTCAGCTGGCTTTTATGTGTCTTATTAACAAAACTGGAAAAATGAGTTTGTGTTATGTAATCCATACAATTTGTTTGGTTGACAACATCTGAAAACAGGAGGCTGGTCAAGTGCAAGTGTGGCGGGTTCTTCAGCAGGCAGCACCATGACACTTCCGTGCCTCTGTCGACGTGGAGAAGGGTGTGATGGAGGAAAGGAGGGGTCTGATGCCCCACCTGAGTGGTGATGAGGCTTGGCCTGAGCTGGCCTTAGGTTCAGCGGGATGAGGGGTGCAGGTGTGGTTGGGGAATGCCAGGATAAGATATAGGTCATCAGAACCAAGGGGATCCTCCAAGTTGGATTTCTCTATTCTATATGGGCGGGCTTAGAGGGGGCTGTTGACTTACTGAGAGTCACACAACGTAGTAGCTGGGACCTGGAATCCAGCCCGATACTTTTTTGATATCTGTGTCTTCTGATAGAAATAGGCACTCTTTCCTCTTTCCGTCCGGCCACTGCTCCACCTATGTTTACAGCCATCTATCCTTTGACTCACCCACCCATCCCACCATCATCTTCTTAACCGTTGACTCACCAGCCAACCCAATCCACCACCCCTCCCTTCCTCCATCCATCCACCTCTCCACCTACCTGTCTACACACCCAGTCCATCCATCCATCTACCCATGTATCTGTCTGCTCTTTGACCTATCTACCCATGGCCCTCTCCTTCCCTCCCTCCATCCACTGGTCCAGTGCCTTTCAATCCACCCTTCTGTCCGTCTATCTCAGATGCACCTGTCCACCATTTACTCTCCTAGTCAGCATCCCTTCTGTCCGTCTATCTCAGATGCACCTGTCCACCATTTACTCTCCTAGTCAGCATGCAGAATGCCTGTGACGTGCCAGGTGCTGTGCTGGGTGCTAGGATCACAGAGATAAAGAACATGTGGCCCTTACCCTCAAGGAGCTCACAATTAGTGGGGGAAACAGGTCATCGAAAGCTGCAGGTTATCTTTCTGATCTCATTTCCTGCCACTCTCTCTAGCTCCCTCTGCTCCAGCTGCACAGGCTCTGAACTCTCTCAAATGCTGCAGGCTGATGCCTGCCGTGGGCTTCCCCTGACCACCCCCGCTCCTGGGAAGCCCTTTGCCCACATATCCACAGGCTGCTCCCCATCCTCAGCCTCTGCTCAGCCCTCCCGTGGGGGTGAGGCCTTTGCGTGCCTTTCTCTGCCCTCCCTGATCTGCTCGCTGGTCTCCTGAGCACTTGCCAGCATTCGCATGCTATGTCTTTATCCTCTGTTTATCCTGTCTCCCAGAACAGATTATAAACCCCACGAGTGCAGAGACTTTGTTCTCTTCTCTGCTGTATTTGCAGAGCTGGTACACAGTAGGAGCTCAATAAATACTTGCTGAAGGAAAACATGGATCTTGAGAAATGCTACCAAGAGAGGAAATGAGGAAGGTGCTGAGGGATGAAAGCGAGGCAGTGGTGGTGCTGCCTGTGGGGCCTTTGCGGTCCTGGAGAGTGGAGCTGCGGGGCTGGGAAGGCTGGTGGGTGGGGCTCGCAGGCAGCTGGAGGAGCTCGTGGGAGCAGAGAGGTCATGGCTGGAGGTGTGGCTCGAACCTTCAGGTCAGTGAGGGTGGAGTGGTGGGCAGACAGCTGGCTAGCTTGGTGCTGGCCATGTGGGACTTGAGATCAAGAGGACAGTTGGGGACCAAGCTCTGTGGGATGCATCGAGGTCAGGGCAGGGGACCCAGCCCACACACCTAGATCCCCTGCCCCACTCACAGTTAGTCTGAAGCAAGGGACCCCATGAGGTTGAGCATCAAGGAGCTATTGTGAAGAAGTTGGTGAAGACAGAACGCTGCTTCCATGCCAGCGCCTATAGGCACATAGCACGGCATTTGTACATGAGTGTGGGTAATGCAGATTCAGATGTGCACACACACATGCATGAACACACCTCACACGCACATGACGGCAGGTCACACAGACACATGAGCACGGCACTTGCACACAGTGGGCTCATATAGAGACACGTGCATGAGCACAGCATCTACACATGACCACGGATCTCTCACACACACACGTATGTGCACACCCCCCTCTTTGCTCGCAGCCTTGGGGCTCACTTACGCTCTGTGGACGGCTCTGGCCTTGTTTGGACTCCTGGTTCAGCAGCTACTTAGGAAAGAGATGAGCTGCTGCCCCCTCTTGGGCCCTGACCCACGGAGGTCAGAATTCCCTACATCATCCCCTCAGCCTTCTTACCTCTGGACCCAGGACTCCAGGATTTGGGGCCCCCTACTTCCATCTGGACACAACCAGGCCAAGGGGGTGTGTGTGGGCAGAGACTGGTGACCAGCATGGGTGAGGGCAGTTGAGGCAGGCCAGCTGGAGGCCACGACTGTCCATCAGCTCCCGATACTCCCTTCAGAAACGCGGGAGGACCGGACGAAGCGGCTCTTTCGGCACTACACAGTGGGCTCCTACGACAGCCTCACCTCACACAGGTACGTGCAGGGACCCTGGCTGGCGGGAGCATGCATGTGGGACGTGGGGCAGGACCTGCAGTGTAGAGGGAGGCCAGGTATGAAGAGGTCAGAGGAGGGCAAGGGAATGTGCCTGGCCGACCTCTCTTCTGCTGCCCGGCCTGTCAGTCCCGGGGTGACTGCAGGGTGGACTGTGGCCGGCCAACCTCGAGGCAGGGCTTACCTCACTCCTCCCTGCTTTCCTTCATCAGCGATTATGTCATTGATGACAAAGTGGCTGTCCTGCAGAAACGGGACCACGAGGGCTTTGGTTTTGTGCTCCGGGGAGCCAAAGGTAATGGGGAGTGGGTGCCCGGGGGTCAGGCAGGCAGGGGCTGCACACCGCTCAGGGATGTCTTCAGCTTCTTGCTTCTGCCCCCAACTCTGCTCTGCCCCACACTCCCTCCCTGCCTTGCCCCTGCGGCTCCCGCTTTTGGCCCCGGCTTTCCTGGTTCCTCTGCTCGGTCGCGACCGTCGTGGTTTGCAACGTCCCGGCCCAGGCGGCAATTCCTTCCCTTCGTTGTTTTCCACTGTCTTTGCTCTAGAGTCTAACCGAGTGGGGGCTTTTCTGGCATGGGCAAAGGGAGTTTTGCAGAGGGTCATGTCTAGGATCCTTGGGCCGGCTCGTCCCTGCGCTGTGGCTCCCCGTGGCCCTCCCCCAGCCCCGGGTCACTGCCCCCCGCAGTCATCTCTTTCCTGTGCTGAGCCACTCGGAGGTTGCTGTGTGGCAGCCGCCCCCACCCGAACCTAGCTGGTGAAGCGCCTTCCTAATTGCCCCCCGCAGCAGAGACCCCCATCGAGGAGTTCACGCCCACGCCAGCCTTCCCGGCGCTGCAGTATCTCGAGTCGGTGGACGTGGAGGGTGTGGCCTGGAGGGCCGGGCTGCGCACGGGAGACTTCCTCATCGAGGTGAGGTCGTTCTGGCCGGTGCTGCCCAGTGGGATGCTGAGCCCTGAGCCCTGTGGTGGACGTGCCTGGGGCGTCCCCACCCAGCTGCCTGTCTATCCCAGGTGAACGGGGTGAACGTGGTGAAGGTCGGACACAAGCAGGTGGTGGCTCTGATTCGCCAGGGTGGCAACCGCCTCGTCATGAAGGTTGTGTCTGTGACAAGGAAGCCAGAAGAGGACGGGGCTCGGCGCAGAGGTGAGGGGTCACGCTTCAGGCCTCTGTGCCCAAACTTTCCCCTGACCTTAGACCTTTGACTTCAGGCCCACATTCCTCTTCCCATCCCTGACCCCCAACTGCTGACATCAGATTCCTGAACCTCAATGAACCACCCACACGTGTGGGCTGGGACCCCTCCCGATCCCTGGTGCTAGACTGCCAGTCCTGTCCCCTGGCCTGAGGCCTTTGACCCCTGACCCCTGACCTCAGGCTGCCCCTCCTCAGATCCCTGCCCCCTCCTTCCCGGCGTTCCCCCAGCCCCTGGCGTGGCAGAGCCCTCCTTCCCTACACCGCCAGCAGCTGCCTGGAGGCCGGGGTTGCCATAGCAACTGTGAGGTTGACGCTGCCGCGCTGCTTATTGTCGGAGGGAAGGGGGAGGCGGCACCTGAGGGAAGAGGAAAAGCGTCTTCTCCCCGCGACGACGCGGCACAGCCTGGGCCCAGGAGGCTTTGCCGGCCAGGCCCAGCCCAGGCCCGTGGCTTGGCTGACCACACCCTGGCCCCACAAGGGGCAGTGGCCACCCGGGCCTGGGGGGAGCCCTGGAGCAGCAGGAGCCCCGCCCGCAAGGAGACCCCTCCCAGCCCCCACCCCATGGCTCTGGTGCCCCCTTGCTTAGCCCTCGAAGCCTGCAGGGTGGGTGCTCAGGCCAGAGCCAGCCGGCACCGTGACCCCCGCCAGCACCCTTGATCGTCTCCTGAGGCCCTGATTCTGGGGGTTCCCAGGGCCCCTGAGGCCCTGACCGCCCGCCCCCCCCCCCCCCGCACTCCCTGAGCTCCTTGAGCCATGAAGAAGTTTGCGTCCAGCCGTAACCTGAACAAGATCCTGGCACAGTGCGACTCATCCTCGCGGGAGTACGAGGAGATCCAGGCGGTGGAGCGCAAGTGGCACCTGCACCTGGCCACGCCGCGCCGCCTGCTGCTGGACAGGAGGTCCAAGGCCTCCCTCTTCTTTGCAGCCCCACCGCCCCCCAAGAGGGCCCCCAGCACCACACTGACCCTGCGCTCCAAGTCCATGACAGCTGAGCTCGAGGAACTTGGTGAGTGGCGGGGGTGGCGGTGGAGGTGGACGCAGGTGGACGGTCCATGATGGGCAGACAGGGCCGGGAGACACAGGTGGTACGGGAGGGCAGGCGGTCCAGCCAGAGGGTAGGAAGGACAGGTGGGTACAAGAGCAGGTCAGAGGTGAATGGGTGGGTGCTGGCGCGATGGGGAAATTTGGTGCTTGTGGGGTGAGGAGAGGGTGGCATGTGGAAGGGGTGAGATGTGAGAGGCTGGGGATGGACAGTGGGGTGTCCAGGACAGATGACGGGGAGCAGGGCCTGGCCCACCAGTATGTTTGCATGTGTGTGCATGTGTGTGCGTGTGCTGCCTCTGGTTTTCCACGTCTCCACTTTGACTTTACTCCTGCATTTCATCCAAGTGAGGAGAGAGCGGTAGTGAGGTGACCAGGGTCTGCTGCTGGCTCTGCCAGGCACTGGCTGTGTCAGCTCTGTGTTTATTTTACCCTCTTGGTGACTGTGCACTCATTGACAGGTGGCCCTGCTGACCCCACAGGCCACAGGAGTACTGTCGGTGGGATGATGGGGCAGGGCCTCGAGCGCGGCAGGAGGGGAGCAGGAGTGTGTTGGGGTTTGATGGGGCATGTTCTGGGCACAAGCCCTGGTTGACCATCAACAGCCTCTTCATGGGCAGGTCTTATATATGTGTCCATTAACAACCTTGTCATGTGCACGTCCAGATATACTTGATCATGTCCTGACGTGACAGTCAGTAGCCTCTTCATGGGACTGTCCCATTACGTGTGACCGTTGTCCTCACTGTGGGTATGTGCTATACATGTGGCCATCAACAGCCTCGTCATGGGCATGTCCCACTGTACGTGACAGTTGACAGGCTCTTTCTTTCTTTTTTTTTTTCTTTTTTTTTTTTTTTTGAGACAGTTTCACTCTTGTTGCCCAGGCTGGAGTGCAATGACACGTTCTCGGCTCACTGCAACCTCCACTTCTTGGGTTCAAGTGATTCTCCTGCCTCAGCCTCCCAAGTAGCTGGGATTACAGGCACCCGCCACCATGCACGGCTAATTTTTTTTTTTTTTTTTTTGTATTTTTAGTAGAGGCGGGGTGTCACCATGTTGGCCGGGCTGGTCTCGAACTCCTGACCTCAGGTAATCTGCCTGCCTCGGCCTCCCAAAGTGCTGGGATTACAGGCGTGAGGCTCTTTCTTTCTGTGATCTGAGCCCAGTTCTGTTCCCAGACTTAACTCTGCCTCTGGTCATAGAAGGAACCCCAACTTTGGTCCTAAACTGAACCCTGAAGTCCTGGCCACAGGAAGGGACCCCATTCTGGTTCTAGGCTGAGCCCTATCCCTGGCTTCAGTCTTGGTTCTACCCCAGCCATAGAAGGAACCCTTTTCCTGGTCCCCAGAATTATCCCTGACCTCACTCATGAACCAAGCCCTGACCCTGTCCTTGCCACAGGCTGAGCTGCCCCATGCCAAGCAGGTGGTCTTAACTGCAGTTTAGTTCAGGGTGGAGAACAGCTACCAACGTCCATTGGGCTGACGTGGTCAGAATTTTCACCATAGCTATTCCAAATAAGATAAAACCCAAAGAAAAAAACAAAAAACCCCATGTAGATAATTCAGAATGAAAAGGAGAGAAACCAAAGCCAGAGGCTTCCATAGCTCGTTATCTAGTACGCAGGGGCAAGGGGTTGGGGTCCTGAGGCCCCCACAAGGCTGGGAGACGTGGCTGGACCTGTGAGAAGCGGGAAGGTTAAAAACCAAGCCCAACCACTGGAATTAGCTTCGAAAGAACTGGAAATCAGAGAAGAATATGAAAAACATTAAAATAAAGTAAATTGTCACAAAGATTAAAAGAACTAACAGAACTAATGAGAGAATAGGACAGAACAAACAAGCAAAAAAAGAATAAGCACATTTTAGAATGATTCTTTTTTTTTTTTTTTTTTTTTAGACTGAGTCTCGTTCTATTACCAGCTGGAGTGCAGTGGCGCGATCTCGGCTCACTGCATCCTCCGCCTCCCGGGTTCAAGTGATTCTCTTGGCTCAGCCTCCTGAGTAGCTGGGATTACAGGCGCACAACACCACACCCAGCTAATTTTTTGTATTTTTAGTAGAGATGGGGTTTCACCATGTTGGCCAGGCTGGTCTCGAACTGCTGACCTTGTGATTCACCCATCTCAGCCTCCCAAAGTGCTGGGATTACAGGCGTGAGCCACTGCGCCCAGCCAGAAGGATTCTTAAAGAACTGTTATTGAAACAAAAAGTGTAGTCACTGAGATAAAAAAGAAAGCCATGCCTGGGATAAACAGTACACTAGACCCAGGTGAAGAAAGAAACAGCAAGTTAGAAGATAAATCTGAGGTTACCCAGAATATAGCACAGAAATATAAGGAGATAGAAAATATCAAAGAGCAGTTAGGACACACACACACAAAAATCACATAGATAGTTCAATGGGACTATTGGGAAAATCCCAGCATCTACCTAATGCAAGGCGTGGAAGCAAAAATAAAATGTTGCCTGGAGGCAATATTTGGAGATGAGATGGCTTAAGAATTTCCGAAAGTTGAACAAAGACATGAGTCTTCAGTTTAAAGAAATATAAGTCTCAGCAAGGAAATAAAAACAAATCTGTATCCACATCTTTCATAGTAAAACTGTAGAATGCTGTGAGCAAGCAGAAATCTTTAAAACAATGAGAGAGGCTGGGTGCGGTGGCTCATGCCTGTACTCTCAGCACTCTGGGAGGCCAAGACAGGTGGATCACTTGAGTCTAGGAGTTTGAGACCAGCCTGGGGAACATGGCGAAACCCTATCTCTACTAAAAATACAAAAATTATCCTGGCATGGTGGTGTGTGCCTGTGGTCCCAGCTACTCAGGAGGCTGAGGTGGGAGGATTGCTTAAGCCTGGGACGTGGAGGTTGCAGTGAGCCAAGATCATGCCAGTGCACTCCAGCCTGGGCAACAGAGCGAGACCCTGTCTCAAAACAAAACAAAGCAAAAAATGATGAGAGAGAGAGAGAGATGGGCTGCTGGATGTCTTAGACGGGAGCAGTGGTCCAACTGACAACAGACTTCTCATCAGCAGTGGCAGATGACAGTAGATGATGGAAGAAGAGCTTCAAAGTGTGGAGTCAAAATTCTTTTCCACCTAGAATTCTATACCCCGCTAATCCTGCTCATTCAGGAGTGAGGCAGAGAGGCTAATCCTAGACCTCTGGCACTCGGGTCATGAGGGTCCAAGGTCAGTCACGGGGAGCTGACCTGTCAATTGAAGATCCAAACTGATCAATAAGCCAGCACCAGTAGGCAGCTGGGTCCCAGGATTCTCCTGCCAGAGGCTGTCACATAGCCACAGTCAGCTGCATGTTCAGAAGGGACTCTTCTATTCAGCACCACGGGGCTTTTGGGCAGCCTGAGATCCGTAATCCTGGGACCCAGGGACTCTGCCCTATGGAAACGGAAGGACTGCGCTTTGCTCTCTGGGCTTTTCTGCCTGAAGAAACTGGTGAATGAAGACGCTCCTTTCCCTCCCCTCTGGGCTGAGTGTTCCCTCTTCTGCAACAAGCCTCAGGACAGGTTGCTGGAGTCACTTTGCAGAGCCCGGTCTTCCAGAGGAGTTGCTCACAGCTTCAGGCCACCATAATTTTCCAGGCTTTTTTCTGAGCAGAGTCTGGGGGAGGATGAAGGGACAGCTTAGCGCAGAGCCTCTACCCACACTTCTGGAGCTCAGGAAGCCACCCTGTCCCCAGAAGACAGCTGTCCTGGGAAGCCAGCAGGGCTTCTGGAAGTCCCCTCTGGAAATGCCTGATTTGAGGACGCCATGCCAGCATCAGGGTTTCCCCAGGTACCTAAGAGACCATCCCACAACCCAGTGTTTTTGCTTTCAGAAGATAGAAATGAGGCCTGTTGGTCACTGCTGGCATGAACACATCAGAACTGCCTCACACTGTCAAGAGCTATTAGAGCCCTTTAGGATCCATAGTCTATCGAGAAGGTGCCTGGACACCTAAAAAGAAAAGAAAGTGAGGTGTCAGAGAAAGCAGGTGCAAGTCGGAGGCTCCTGTCCAGGTGGCTGTTTGCTGCTCGGAGGATGTGGGAGAGGCATGGCCCTGTTGGAGGAAGGGGAGGGAAGGGGTATCCTGTGGGGGAATGGGGTGAGCAAAGGCTGGTGCCTGGAAAATGGAGGGTTGCAGAGCTGGGAGTGAGAGGAAGGGGCTGGGTGGGGACCCTCCTGAGATAGGTGGTGAGAGAGAGAAGAGGGCAGAACACCCCTCCTCCCCTCAGCACTGGGGGCTCCTCATGGTCGCCACATGCATGTCTGCTCGGTTTGTACCAGGAATGTGCTGGGGCCACAGGTCAGTGGAGACCCAGGCCAGGGAAGGCCCTGTGGCGGGTCCAAGCCCTTCCTGTGTATTCACGTTCCCAGGAGAACTCTGGACTTCCCTGTAATTTCTGGGCCCCTTTTTCTTTTGTGATGAGAACATCAGGGTAGGTGCCACACCCAGCATCTATGTGAGTGGCCTTGTCCTGGAAAAGGTTTCTGTGCCAAACACACTTGCCCTGCCTTTTAAGACCGACTTTGAACAGAACACAGAGGTGACCACCTTAATTTTCAGCGACACCTGAACTTGTTTTCTATGGGGTTTTGCCTTTTTTCTGAACAAACGTTTGACTGAGCCAAGCATGATGGAGTTGTGCATATCTGTGTGTGTGTGCGTGTCTGTGCGTTGGTGAGCGGACACGCGCTGTGTGCACCTGCGTGCATGCGGCACACATGTCTGTGCGTGGGTGAGTGGACACGTGCTGTGTGCACCTGCATGCGTGTGGCACACGTGTGTGCATGGGTGAGCGGATACGCACTGTGTGCGCCTGCATGCGTGTGGCACACATGTCTGTGCGTGGGTGAGCAGACGCGCTGTGTGCACCTGCATGCGTGTGGCACACGTGTGTGCGTGGGTGAGCGGATACGCGCTGTATGCACCTGCGTGCATGCAGCACACGTCTGTGCGTGGGTGAGCGGATACGCGCTGTGTGCGCCTGCATGCGTGTGGCACACGTCTGTGCGTGGGTGAGCGGATATGCAGTGTGCGCCTGCATGCGTGTGGCACACGTGTGTGCGTGGGTGAGCGGATACGCGCTGTGTGCCCCTGCGTGCATGCAGCACACATGTCTGTGCGTGGGTGAGTGGACATGCGCTGTGTGCACCTGCATGCATGTGGCACACACACACAAGTCCCTGCTTGTGGTTGTTTCCTCCTTGGCTTTCAAGGCATGTACCAACTGACTCCAGAGTTGGGCAGATTTGCTATTCACGGTCTGATAAAGAGGTGTAGGCTGGGGGCAGATTTGGGAGGTCATGGTTTTTGGGGGAGGTGGTGGTGAGAGGGATGGGGTGGGGAAATGAGTGTGGATAATGGGGCCCGGGTGCCGAGCCTGCCTCTTACTCCCTTTACTCTGTTTCTTGATTCCAAGCCTCCATTCGGAGAAGAAAAGGGGGTGAGTCATCTGCCTGTGTCCCCAGGGCCTTGGCTTTGCCTGACCCCTGTCTGGGGGAGTGCTGGTGTGTGAGGAGGTTCCAGCGCAAGTCAGGGTGGCCCGGAAGCCTGGGCTGCACCCTCCTGTTGGCCTTCTCCCTGGGCATCTGGTAGGGGCATGAGAGAAGGGCCTGCAAGGATGGATGGGGAGTTCCCAGGGGTGTGACCCTCTGAGACTGTGATGGCCTTGGGGGCTCAGGTGAGCCTGGGGCCTGTGAGCTGTGCAGATAGCCTGATGGAGGCAGCCCGTGGGGAGGAGCTGGGAGAGCCCCGTGGAGGCCACTGCATGCACCATGGCCCGGACAGCAGGAGGGAAAGGGCTCCGAGGGTCCCAGAGGGGGAGCTCTAGGGAGCAGGGAGACTGGGCCGTGTTGGCGTGCACGTTGCTTCTTTCTGCTGGTCCTCTCGGGGCCTGTGCTTGGGTTGTGGGACCTACTCCCGTGCTGGTTGGTTGTAGGGCCAAGCCCAGAGCTGATGGTCCCTTCAGAGCAGGGGTCTGAGTCCCACAGCACTGGGGAAGGAGCTTGGAGCTCCCCTGGCCAAAGACCCCAGGCTGTTGACTACCCTCCTGAACCCCCGTTCAGGCCTCCCTCTACCCTTTGGGGCTGCTCCCTGTATGTCCTTTATGTTCAGCCTGGTTGCAGGGGAGGGCGCATTCAGGTGGGGACAGTCACCTGGGCCTGGGTACTGAGGTCCACTGTCTGGTGAAGTCCTGGGACCCGGCTTCCGGCAGCCTCCTCTGCCTCTCGGGTGGATGGGAATCAGGGCCCAGACAGAGGCTTGAGGTGGCTTTCTCCACCCAGGCCTGTATATTTGCTCCACGTCCGTGTACCTGATGCCCATCCCTCCCTCTCTCTCGACCCACTGGGCTTTCCCTGGGTGAGGACACATCTGCCAGGCCCTTGGCCCAGCCCTCTTGAGGTCCCCTTGCTGCCTCTTGCCCCAGCCCAGGTGAAGGGCTTCCCCAGTGTCTTCTCAGGTATTAAAAACAGGTGACAAGGTCTCCTCCAGTGACCTTTTCTGCATGCCTTTGGGGCAGACATACAAGCTATTTCTGGAATCTTCTGGCTCTGCCCTCTAGCTCGTTAGTGGGGCTCCCAGGGTGCTGTGTTGCAGCCCAGGTGCTGCTCCAGTTGTGGAAGAAGTGATGGCTGGTTGATCATCCCGCAGGCTGGGGCCCTGTTGATCAAACAGCTGCAAACCCAGCTGTGTCCTGCTGTGCACCCAGAGGGCCCTGGGAGTGAGCGGGTCCACTTGGTTCCTGATGGGCTTTGTTTCCCTTAATTATCTAAAATTATTTATTTAAGAATATATCCTCTAATATTGGGGGGAGATTTATGTCAACCTCATCAGTTTGTAATTTGCAGAATTCTTGATGAATCCTTTCCCTTTTGAAAACACTTCTCACCCGGCTCCAGCACCATCGCCGGATGACCAGAAACAGCTGCTCACTAAACGTTATGTGCGTCCCGCTGTGGGTCTCTGGGATGGGTCTTCCAGACCTAGAGAGACAGCCTCTCCTAGCCCGTGGCTCAGGCGGCAACGTGTCTCCCATGATGCTGAGCCGTGTGTGCCTCACGGAGTTTTCTCTCCATTCATATCTTTACTTCTGCAGTTTCCGGGGAGTATGGTGCTTAAGTCTCATCTCTTACTTCCTAGTCAGAGATTTATGGCAATTTCGCTTCAGTTTGCTCCTGGGTTGGATAAGGGTGATGATAAAATCCTCGTGTAGTTGTGGGATGAGAGGAGTGGTTTGCATAAAGTCCCGCATACTCTAGAAATCACCAAGAACTTAACAGATGGTGGCAATGGTGACTTCAACTCCCAAAAAGAAATCATTCACTTCATGACAAAAGCAAATGAGAAGTCCCCTCAAACCAGCAGCCCCTGGTCTGTACCTGGGCCCCTGTCACCTGGTGGCACTGGGAGCTGTGCACAGGCCCAGATATCTGCAGTTGGAGCCTGTTTTGCTGGTAAACTCTTGTATCGTTCAGGACACAGGCTGGGCGCTGATGGAACACAGAGAACAGTATTTGCTCTGTTCTGCAGACCCGGAAGCTGTCTGGGGAGATGGGGCACACAGACATGAATTGTACTGAATTGTGTCCAGTGCCAGCACAGTTGTAAGCCTTTCTTCTGTGCTAATTCTCACTAGAGACACGTGAGCGAGCACTGTTTTTATGCCTGTTTTATCAATGAGGACACAGAGGTCACAAAGAGGTTATGTCAGGACAGAGTCAGTGTACAGGGTGGGTCTGGTCTGGGTTGGGTACAGGACAGTCTTGGGGAGTTCCTTCCTTCCAGCAATGCTAAGCTTGGGGAGTTCCTTCCTTCCTTCCAGCAATGCTAAGCAGATTGCAGAGGTAGAATCAGCAGGTGCTGTGAACAGCTGCAGATTGGAGTTGGAAGGAGTAGGAGGTGTCCAGTCTGACCGTTGAAATTCTCCAACGAGGGGCCAAGACAAGAGTGAAAGGTGCCAAGACAAGTGTGGCCAGACAGTGGTCCCTCTAGGGTTGGCATAGCCCCAAAGAGTGGAGAAGGGCTTGGGGTTGGGTGCAGCCTGAGTGATGGGTGGGGTGCAGTGGGGCTGCTGAATGAGAGGGCCGGTGCAGCAGCCAGGTGGACATGAGTGCTGCCCCAGCCCTTGCTGCATGCTCCACGCACTGGTCCTCAGTGGACCCACAGGGGGCGAGAGCTGCTTATGTCCTGGGGGAGCCATCCAACCAGGGCTCTGATGGTCCTGAGATACACGTATTAGTTTAACAGTTTCCAAGTCACTTTGATCTTCTGTGGAAACCTGCTTGTACATCAGGGTCTGTCCTCGGGCTGTGACCCGCTGTGAACAGCTTCCCTTCCAGTGCGGTACAGATAGCCAAGAGTGGCCTGTATGTGCTGAGAACAGTGACAGGACGAAGGGAAATGGAGGGAAATCCAGGGAGACTGTGGTCTCTGAATCGTTTGTCTGTCCTGTGCCCTGGTCTTCTCCCTCATGGTCAGAGTGGCCTTTCCTTAAGTGAGGTCCACAGGGTCACCTGGAGTCTCCTTGAGGCTAGAGAGGCTGCCTGGGGTGGGGTCTGAGTTCTGGGGTGAGGGCCTTGTCTTGGGAGCCTGGGGTGGGAGCTCAAGGAGGGAGGGGAGCGGTGGCCTCTGTCAGCATCACGGGTGGCCGGGTTGGGGAGGACATGGCAGTGGGGCAGGAGGTGGCCCAGGCAGCTGAGATGGAGCCTCCTTGCTGTGCAGAGAAGCTGGACGAGATGCTGGCAGCCGCCGCAGAGCCAACGCTGCGGCCAGACATCGCAGACGCAGACTCCAGAGCCGCCACCGTCAAACAGAGGCCCACCAGTCGGAGGATCACACCCGCCGAGATTAGCGTAAGGGCCACGGGCGGCTGGGAGCGCTGGGTCGGGCAGGCATGGGGGTCAGACTGTCCTGGGCCCTCTTGACGGAGGTGAGAGCCTATCATGTGGACCCCTCTCCAGAGGGGTGTGTGCACCCCATGGCCTCTCTCAGAGACTCTTGGGGCTGTCTCTGCCCCCTAAATGGCCACAGCTCAGCACCTGCTGGGTTTGCTCTTGTAGCTTTTGGTGCCTCTGCCTTCAGGCAGTCCCTGTCTCACGCCTGAGACCACCAAGGTACCCCAGCTCCGCTGAGAACACGACAAAGCATGTCTCTGTTCCCTGCCCACTTGCCAACCCGGCGCCTTCTAGGCTCCTCCCCCACCCTCACCCAGGGTCGGCCAGGGTCTGCACCCACCCTGCCCAACACCGTCTACACTGTACCACCATCTGCACTGCCCACACAGCCCAGGCTCCAATGGGCTGCATCCTCTGCTCCCTGAGGGCAGAGTCCAGACGTGATTCCTGGGTCCAGGCACCCACAGGCACTAGTGCCATTGGAGTGAGAGCGTGGGGTGTCTCACCTCTGGCTTAGGAGGAGGACTGGGGGCCCCCAGTGCCCTGGAACCTCCATATTCCCCTCCCTGACCCCCACAGTCATTGTTTGAACGCCAGGGCCTCCCAGGCCCAGAGAAGCTGCCGGGCTCCTTGCGGAAGGGGATTCCACGGACCAAGTCTGTAGGTATGGCTGCGCTGTGGGGCTGCATGGGGTGGGGAGGAACGGGGCTGGGGCCGGCAGGGTGGACTTGGGTTTGAAGGACACTGCCTCTCTCTGCCCATAACTGGGGTTTCCAGTTTCCCTCTCAGTCCTGTCTCTTCCTGGCCCCAGCTAAAGGATCTCATACGTTGATGGACATGTGGGGATTAGGCCTTCCCCAACCCAGAGCTTTCCCCCGGCAGCCGACACTCCCTGTCCAGTGGGCACCGCCCCCCATCGCCTCATCCCTCCCATGGGCAGCCTCATCCCTGTCCCCAGCTGCCACTCCCTGTCCACTGGGCACCCCCACCTCCCCATCACCTCTCATCCTTCCCATGGGCAGCCTCATCCCTGTCCCCAGCTCAGCTGCCTCCATCGCGGTTGCTCCCTTGCAGCCCAAGTGCATGTGAAGTTTCTGACCCTCAAACCCCCTGAACTTGCCTCTCCCCTACTTCTCCATGTATTGCTGTCTCCCCCCTTCACAGCCAGTTTTCCCCAAAAAGTCACCTCTACTGTCCATCTTGTCTCCCGTCCCCCACCGGCTCCTCAGCCTGCGGCAGACTTCCTCTCTCCATACCCAAATTGAAACTGCTCCCACCAGGGTCACCGGCGGCCTCCAGGGCCTTCCTCCCCATGGATGCATGGCCAGCACTCCTGCTGACCTCAGCTGGCATTTGGTTTCTTTGCTCCTTCTTCCGTGAAACGCTCCTCCCCAAAGCTTTAGGACAACACTTACTGGTTTTCCCCTCCTTTCTCAGATGGCACCTATTTCAACCCTGCCGCCCCAGCCTCCCAAATATGGGACCTTTTCAAGGCTGTGTCTTCAGCCTCCTTCCCCTCTGTGCCTCACCACTCCCCAGCCACCATCACACCCCACACTCACCGTCTCCTTTCCTGACCCAGATGGGGACATGTAACAAGCCCTGCCCACTGTGCATCCCTCCAGACATCCACTCTCCCGTCCCCTGCCCACCTGTGCATCTGTCCACCCACACACCTGCCCACTTGACCGTCCGTTGTCCATACAAACCCCAGCACACCTCCCATCTGTTACACATAGGAGTAAACCTCTCAGCACTTACTACGGGCTGGACACTGAGCATTTAATACTTAGAATAACCATATTGAGGTTGAGACCACTAGTACCTCCATTTTACAGATGAGAAAACTGAAGCAAGGAGGGTAAATGACCTGCCCAAGATCACACAGCTGCCCAAACTCGGATTCCTCACCTGCCTCAGGACCCTGCCAATTTGTGTTCACACAAGGCCGATCCTGGGCCAAGTCTGGGGCTTGGTTAGGGAATGTGACGTGTGCAGAGAGCTCAGCGGGCACATTGTGGGTGCCAGGGCTCACGGACCAATGGAGCCCACTGGGGGGCTCCAAGCACACCTGGTGTCACAGAAGGCTGTGTGTGTCGGGGTGGGGGTACTTTTGAGCTAAGATGTGCAAGACAAATGGGAGTTTCTGGGCGATAATGGGGTGAACTGACAGAGCAGTGTGGAAAAGGCATATGGGTGTGTGACCTGGTCCCTCAGAGACTGCCAAGAGTTATTTCTGTAGGTGGGATTGTGGGGAAGAAGGCTGGTGAGGCTGCAGCTACTTTGGAGCTGAGAAGCGCTCTCCCCTGCTCTCCCTGGCCTAAACACTGAGTGTCTTCCATGGTTTCTTTCTTATCCTCTGCCTCACCTGATGTGTCGGGGTGGGTGGCCTCACAGCCCTGCCCTGCACAGGTCTCATCACCTTGCAGCTGGACCATGGCTTTGTTCTCATGACTGCCTGCCCTGGCTCTGCCCTCTAGTCCATCCCTCTGGCCAAATCAGGCTTTCCGCAGAGCTGCTATCACCCCATATCCGTCCAGCTTGACCCTCTGTGCACTCCTCATTGCCTCAGGGCCCTGGAGATCGGCCCCAGTGCTCTCCTGCTTCATCTGGAAACATTTGTCTCTGCCTCCCTTGACCTGGGTCTTCTGACTCTTGCTGTTCCTGGGCCCGACCCTGCAGGTCTAGGTCCATGCACCTGCCCTGCAGGCCTTGAGCCACTCTCCTAGGACTGCCAGTTCTGCACTGGTCCCTCAGGCACCCTCTTGTACTCGGTTGATGGATGGGTGGACAGGTGCTCCTTTTTGGCTCCTCTTGGCCTGCTGGGCCTCAGCTGCCAGCATGCACATTGGTTGGGTTGTCAGACTCCCCAGGCCCCTGCCCCATGCCCTGGCTCTGTTGCTCTGGGCACACGATGCAGCCCTTGAAACATCAGGATTTTGATCCATAAACATGGAGACCACCTATTACCCACCTCCAAGGACCACTCTGAGTCTCCCCCGGTAGATGGCACTCACAGACCGCGTGGCATGCTGGGAGTGCTCAGCAGCTGCCAGTGTTAGTAGACGTAGATGCTGCCTCTTGAGGTTGGCACACAGTGGGTGCTCGAGAAATGCTCTCTGCTATGACCTAAGCAGACAAAGAGGGTCTGCCTCTGCCCCCAAGGGGTCCCACCCCCGCCCCAGATGGTATCAGAACAGATTCCCCATTCCATGCTGAGGCAAGTGACTTTTCTTTACCCTAAGTCAGAACTTGGCATGCTATTAGCATTAAGTTTCCCCTTATTTCATCTTTGCACGTCACTCCCGCCTTCTGCATCCTCAAGGTGCGCTCGTTCTGCGTCGCTCCATCTAACACATAGGCTGTGGGTGTTCACTGCGTGTTCATACACAGTGCAGGGAATGCAGCAGGAGACCCAGGACGAACTGGGCACAATTTCTCTGTCCAGCGGTTGGGGATGGGGGGAAGGCAGACCTAAAAATCACGATGATGATGACCTCGGCCCCCTTCCCCCATTCCCAGGATACTGCTGCAGTTCAGCCCTGCACTGTAAAGGTGAAATCGCCCCACAATAGTTGCAGGCTGTCCTCTTGACATGAGGAAACTGAAGTTCCTAGAGGCTTCTGAAGTTCCTGGCAGATCTAAAATTCAAGCCTAGGTCTGTACACAAAAGCCCACCCTTGGTACCTTGGCTACAAAGAGATATTATGCCCAGCAAGAAGCAGTGTAGTACTGGAGGCCTCATTAGCACTGCGGTGGCTGGAGGAGGATGCGATCAGGAACAGGCAGTCTGTATTTTAGCGAGTTCATAAAAATGTTGACCAATCTCAGAGTGAGGCTGGGAACAGGAGCACCACGAGACCTGGGTGTGTGGGTGTGGGGCTGTCCGCCCCCTGCAGCCTCACTGAACACACCTGCAGCACGTGTGTCCGCATCATGATGTCCACAGGGGTGTTCAGGAGGTTGTGTCAGGTTCTGCTGGACAGCAGGAGCATGAGGGCCCTGAGCACTCCAGCCCCTGCACAGGACCCTAACAATGATGTCTGAGCAAGGCATGCAGAGGGGGGTTACTGAAGCTCAAAGGGGCTCAGGGCCTGGCCTGGGGTCACGCTGCCAGTAGGGGTTAAAATGAAACATGCTGGGTGCTCAGCCTGCAGTTCCATTTTGATTGATCCGTCCGTTCTTCCCTTCACCCACTCACCCATGCGGGTCTCTGGGAGGAGCCTCTCAAGGCTTCCTCCACAGGGCACCTCCTTACCTGGGTGGGCATTAGGTCTTTCTCTGCTGGAGGCCTGGCTCCAGTGGCCACAGCCCTGCTGCCCCTCACCCTGCCAGTGTGTCACTCCTGCTCATTTCCGACTATCTTCCTCTCACCTCTGGTTGCCTCCAGGGCTGGTACTTCTGCGTCGGCCTTGTTCATTCTGGGGTGGGGAGCCCTGTACTGGCCCCTCCAAGCCCCTCAGCAGTTCTGTCCCCATGTCTTGCGGGGCTGTCCCTGCCTTTCTGGGATACCTTCTCAGGGCCTGCTTGATGACCCTGGGTTTGGGCAGGTCTTGGCCCCAACCCAGGCCGTCAGAGTTTGTGTCCTTTCTCAGGGGTCCCCGGTGGGGCCCTCCTCCATCCTGTAACTGAACGCACACCTCTCTCCTGTCCTCTTCACAAGAGCCCTCCCCGTGCAGCCCTGGGCCTGGGGCACAGAGCTTGGGCATCCAGGGACCAGCCCAGACCAGGGTCTTGCTCGGAGCCCGGGCTCTGGGCTCCCTGTTTCTCCCCTGCCCTCCATTCCCCGCCCACCACGGGTCCCAACCCCATCTTCCCGAGCATTCTAGCTCCTCGCGCCGGGTTCTGCCGCGGGCGTCCATTGTGTCCGGACGGTGGCTTCCCCGGGGTGGAGTCGGGGCAAGGCTGGCCTCTGTGGGAGGGGGTTGCCGGGGTCCCCAGGAACCTCTCCGAAGGCAGCACCACCCCCCGCCCAGCGCCCTGGCTGGTCTCACCGGCCCTTCCGTCCGCAGGGGAGGACGAGAAGCTGGCGTCCCTGCTGGAAGGGCGCTTCCCGCGGAGCACCTCGATGCAAGACCCGGTGCGCGAGGGTCGCGGCATCCCGCCCCCGCCGCAGACCGCGCCGCCTCCCCCGCCCGCGCCCTACTACTTCGACTCGGGGCCGCCCCCGGCCTTCTCGCCGCCGCCCCCGCCGGGCCGCGCCTACGACACGGTGCGCTCCAGCTTCAAGCCCGGCCTGGAGGCGCGCCTGGGCGCGGGCGCTGCCGGCCTGTACGAGCCGGGCGCGGCCCTCGGCCCGCTGCCGTATCCCGAGCGGCAGAAGCGCGCGCGCTCCATGATCATCCTGCAGGACTCGGCGCCCGAGTCGGGCGACGCCCCTCGACCCCCGCCCGCGGCCACCCCGCCCGAGCGACCCAAGCGCCGGCCGCGGCCGCCCGGCCCCGACAGCCCCTACGCCAACCTGGGCGCCTTCAGCGCCAGCCTCTTCGCTCCGTCCAAGCCGCAGCGCCGCAAGAGCCCCCTGGTGAAGCAGCTGCAGGTGGAGGACGCGCAGGAGCGCGCGGCCCTGGCCGTGGGCAGCCCCGGTCCCGGCGGCGGCAGCTTCGCCCGCGAGCCCTCCCCGACCCACCGCGGTCCGCGCCCGGGTGGCCTCGACTACGGCGCGGGCGATGGCCCGGGGCTCGCGTTCGGCGGCCCGGGCCCGGCCAAGGACCGGCGGCTGGAGGAGCGGCGCCGCTCCACTGTGTTCCTGTCCGTGGGGGCCATCGAGGGCAGCGCCCCCGGCGCGGATCTGCCATCCCTACAGCCCTCCCGCTCCATCGACGAGCGCCTCCTGGGGACCGGCCCCACCGCCGGCCGCGACCTGCTGCTGCCCTCCCCGGTGTCTGCCCTGAAGCCGTTGGTCAGCGGCCCGAGCCTGGGGCCCTCGGGTTCCACCTTCATCCACCCACTCACCGGCAAACCCCTGGACCCCAGCTCACCCCTGGCCCTTGCCCTGGCTGCCCGAGAGCGAGCTCTGGCCTCCCAGGCGCCCTCCCGGTCCCCCACACCCGTGCACAGTCCCGACGCCGACCGCCCCGGACCCCTGTTTGTGGATGTACAGGCCCGGGACCCAGAGCGAGGGTCCCTGGCTTCCCCGGCTTTCTCCCCACGGAGCCCAGCCTGGATTCCTGTGCCTGCTCGCAGGGAGGCAGAGAAGGTCCCCCGGGAGGAGCGGAAGTCACCCGAGGACAAGAAGTCCATGATCCTCAGCGTCCTGGACACATCCCTGCAGCGGCCAGCTGGCCTCATCGTTGTGCACGCCACCAGCAACGGGCAGGAGCCCAGCAGGCTGGGGGGGGCCGAAGAGGAGCGCCCGGGCACCCCGGAGTTGGCCCCGGCCCCCATGCAGTCAGCGGCTGTGGCAGAGCCCCTGCCCAGCCCCCGGGCCCAGCCCCCTGGTGGCACCCCGGCAGACGCCGGGCCAGGCCAGGGCAGCTCAGAGGAAGAGCCAGAGCTGGTGTTTGCTGTGAACCTGCCACCTGCCCAGCTGTCGTCCAGCGATGAGGAGACCAGGGAGGAGCTGGCCCGAATTGGGTTGGTGCCACCCCCTGAAGAGTTTGCCAACGGGGTCCTGCTGGCCACCCCACTCGCTGGCCCGGGCCCCTCGCCCACCACGGTGCCCAGCCCGGCCTCAGGGAAGCCCAGCAGTGAGCCACCCCCTGCCCCTGAGTCTGCAGCCGACTCTGGGGTGGAGGAGGCTGACACACGCAGCTCCAGCGACCCCCACCTGGAGACCACAAGCACCATCTCCACGGTGTCCAGCATGTCCACCTTGAGCTCGGAGAGCGGGGAACTCACTGACACCCACACCTCCTTCGCTGACGGACACACTTTTCTACTCGAGAAGCCACCAGTGCCTCCCAAGCCCAAGCTCAAGTCCCCGCTGGGGAAGGGGCCGGTGACCTTCAGGGACCCGCTGCTGAAGCAGTCCTCGGACAGCGAGCTCATGGCCCAGCAGCACCACGCCGCCTCTGCCGGGCTGGCCTCTGCCGCCGGGCCTGCCCGCCCTCGCTACCTCTTCCAGAGAAGGTCCAAGCTATGGGGGGACCCCGTGGAGAGCCGGGGGCTCCCTGGGCCTGAAGACGACAAACCAACTGTGATCAGTGAGCTCAGCTCCCGCCTGCAGCAGCTGAACAAGGACACGCGTTCCCTGGGGGAGGAACCAGTTGGTGGCCTGGGCAGCCTGCTGGACCCTGCCAAGAAGTCGCCCATCGCAGCAGCTCGGTGAGCAGGGCGGTGCGGGGAGGGATCCGTGCCTTGTCCGTGGCCCCGTCTGTCATTCCTCTTGTCTGTTCTCTGGCTCTCCTGTTCCTCCTTGTTCTGTTCCATTCCTTCTGTGGCAACCCCCAACCCGCCCCCGCCATCCACCTCTGAATCCGGTCTTGCTTGGCCTGCCCGAGAGAGGAGGTTCTTCTGGGCGTCTGACACGTCAGGGTTGCTGCTCACTGTGTCCCTGTTGGTGCCAGAAGTGGGAGCTGGGCTCCCCTCAGAGACTCAGGTTGGGCATGAGGCGCCTCCATGGCCCTCCTGGAGGCTCTTGGCCCCAGGGATTCCTGTGAGTTCTCTCTCTCCCTCCCGACACAGGCTGTCTTTACCATTAAGGGTTGTTTTGTGTTTTACTTTGGAGGTACGCCTCCCTACTCCCATCCTCTCTGTGGCCATGTGGCTGCCCAGTGTGGCTGATACCCTCTGCCTTACAGCTGCCTCCTGCCTTGCTTCCTCTGGCGGCTTGGAGCACACTGACTCCTTTTCTTTTGGGGGATCTGCCACTAACTCCCTATTTCCCATCCCAGAAACATTTGTCTCTTGGCACCACCTTAGAATCCCTTAAACATGGATTCCCGTGTGTCATTTCTAAAGTGCAGTAAGAAGATAGATGGAAGTCACGCCATCTCCCTGCACTCCATCTGCCCTCTTGCCTTCTCCCCACCACTTCCCCGTCTGTCCTGCCCCTGCCCAGAAGGATCTGAGCAGGGGCCTGGCTTGCTGCTGAGGCTGTCACAGCTGCCAGAGCCCTGGGCTGATCCCATAGGTCTTTCCTTGAGGACCCGACTCCCAAGGCTCCTTCCAAAGAGGAGCCCTTCGGGCCCGTGGGCTGCATGGATGCTGGCGGCAGAGCTGGTCATCCCCCACCCGCCCCCTTGTCTGCCTTTTTAAAGCTGCTTTTGCCTTCTGTGCCCCTAGGTCTCCCCTCTCCTCTTTGGGTCTGGGGGGGTGGTATGTGGATGCCACCTCTTGACTCCTGCTTCTTGCTGCCTGGAAGACCAACCTAGTGGGCCCCGTACTGTCAGCCTTGGAGGACAGAGTTCACAGCGTAGCAACGTGTTCAGAACTTAAGGACTTTGCAGGTCTTACAAAGGCCTGGCCATTCTACCTTCTTTAGTTCAGGATTCAAAAGACAGGTAGGAGCTTGGGAAGCTCATGAGGCCTCTCCTAAGGTCCCGGGATGCTGCCTCCAGCTCCTGTCATCCTGGGGAATTGCTCTGGGGTCCTCTCCCCTTTTAGCCTTTTCCAACTCTCAGCCAAACTGGAAAGCCCTCTTCCCAGCAGTGCAGTGTTGAAGGTGCCCGTAGAATGGGTGTTATAATCAGAGTGAGCAGCCTGGTCCTAGGCCTCTGTACAGGACCAGACCCCTGAGGCTGGGGTCTCCTGACCCACACCTGACCAGCCCCCATCTTCCCTCTCTGCTTCTCCCTCCGCTCTTCTCTGCCTCTTGGTCTTGATGAAAATCAAAGCCATTTTAAAAAGTGCATAGCACAGTGCCTGGCCTGGTTCGGGCCCTCAATAAACATTTCTTAAATGGATGAAAGAACAAAGCAAAATGCAAATGCTGTGTTTTGTGATTTGAGATCTAGGGAGGTGGCTTAGGACAAAAACCCACAGAAGGACTTACTCAGCGTTCAGACTCATCAGGTGTCGATCCCCCATGGTCGGGCTCAGGTGGGCCCAGGTCTCGTCATTGGCTCTGTCCTCTCCTGTGAGGCAGCTGCAGCAGTTGCAGGGCAGGGTCAGGGGATTCCTCAGCCGGAACCTCTGGCACTTCCCCTTCTCTGAGTTCATCCTCCCACGGTGCTCTTTAGCATTCTGTCTTGATCAGGGTACGGTTCTCTTAGCCCTTGGCTCTGGCTTTCACCAGGACCCTGTTTGTTTTTCTTTCTCAGATGTGGGATGGGGAAGGACAAGACCAGCAGCCCTGACCCTTACGTGAGGTCTGTTCTTTTACTCAGTAGTTCCTGCAAAATTCTGATCTCTGATTGGGTTCATGTGGGTCCTCTGCTTTTCCCTGACTGATCACTGGGGTCTGGGGACATAGGGCTGTCATCGGCCAAGCTTGAGTCCTCTGTTCTCCCAGGAGCCAGGGGGATGGGTCCGCCCACCTAGCAAGCAGGTGCTGAGATTGAGGGGAGGGGGCTCTCCAGATGGAAGTCCAGTGCTGTCCCTTGAGTAAGTAGATGCTGGACAGCCTGTAGCAACCAATGTTCTGTGACACGGCCCCTACTGGCATCAGCAACTCACTTCCTTGCCGGTCATTGGCTTGGAGCCATCAGAGGGCCCTGATGTCGGTGCTCAGGAGGTCACAGCTTAGTGCTGTATCCCTCCCCTGTGAAGTGTATTTACAGCGAGCCAACTGCACAGGCTATCGCGAGGCTGCACACGGCATCACCTGTGAAGCACCTGGTAGGCCCAGGGCTGGGGCCTGTGGACCCCTCACTGGTGTGAGCTGCCATTGTCTTTGCTGTCACTGACGACACCTAGGTGAGGTCTTAGAGTCCTTTGTGGGAAAACAAGCCTGTTGGATGCAGCACTGGAGACGGTCCTGCCGTATCAGTTTGTCTTCACACCGTTCTGTTAGACGGACACTAACAGAATCCTCATGTTCCAGACAATGAAACTGAGGTACCAGAGAGCTTCCTTGCAGACAGAAAACGGTGGTCTGCCTGACCATGAGCCCTGCTCTCTGGCTGCCGTAACCAGGGCCGCTGTTGTTAAGCCCCTTCTGATGACACACAATGGGCTTTTGCCCAGTAACGCCCCTCCACAGAAGTGGCAGGTGTGTGCATGGCACAGACTCACCCCCGCTGTTTACTGGTCATGTTTGTCATAAGTAGCACCTGGTGCCACCTGAGTGGCCTACCCGGGCCTGCTTTTCCTTCTCAGTTTGCCTCTGTGTTACCTTCTGTTCCAGCTCACTCTTCCTTTCACCCTCTTGCGCTCCTTCTCGCCCTCAGACCTGGGCTGAACTACAGCCATCTGGAGGGGCCCCTGCCCACCCTGGCCCTTAACTTCCGGTGCTTCTGGCTGCAGGCAGCGGAGCGGAGCACAGGACACTTGGTGATGTCTGAGTCCAGTCCTGTTTCAGATCTGGTCCTTTGTGTGCCCACCGTGGCTGTTGTCAGCTCTTGTCCTGCGGCCCCTAATGGCTGGAGTCCGGTACTCACTGCTCACTTAGGGATAAAACTGCTGGTGCAACTGTCTAAAGTGTGGGAGGTTCTGACATCCAGGTATGGCTGCTTCCTTCCCAGGGCCAGTCGTGGCAGAGGCGCTAGGTCACCCTCAGGGCCATACCCTGAGCTGTGTCTCCAGCCCCTTGTGTTCCACAGTGTTTGTCTCCCAGGCCCATCCTTCTCCTCCCTGACCGACACCATGAGGAAGGGAATGCCCACCCACCTTTTCCAGAGATGGCTCATTCCTGATGTGCTTTAGCCACAAGGTGTTCTGTGGCCTGAGAGCTTTCTGGACAAGTTAAGCTGTCCTGTATGTCGTGGAACCAAAGCTCGGTAACCTGTGGAAAAATGATGAGCTCTGGGGCCACCTTTGATTTTCAGGGGAACCTGGAGGATGTGGCACTCTCATGCTGCCTCTGGAAGGTCCAGGACCTTCGGCCTTTTGAATCCTCGATCCCAGATTGTCCACCTGCTCTGTGCTCCCAGCTCCAAGTCTAGCTCTGCTGGACAGACCATTCATCTGCCCAGAGCCCCTCCTCGGTCTCTGGGCCCCACACCTGACTCTGAGGCTACATTTGGGCATGATTCAGACCTGACTCCGAGCCCCACAACTGGCCACAGGCACCCCATCTGTCTGAGGCTCTCACTTGTCTCTGAGACCCTGGCTTCACACCTGGCTCTAAACTCCATTTGTCTTCCAGGCCCCGTGCTCGGATCTGAATCCCATGTGGGGTCTGAGGTCCATAGTAAGGCTCACGTCTGCCTTGGCACTTAGCTTTACATGGGACTCTCACATCTGGTTTTGTAGGTAAAGTTCATGGCAAAGTAGCTTTGGAAACACAAAAAGAGGTTCTTTGCTGCAGTACTTCTGGTGCCTTTGACAAGCTTGTGTGGAGGAGGGCACTGTGTGCCGTGGTCTCCAGACCTGCTAGAGTCAGTTCCTAGGTCTCCCAGAAGACCCATGTTCCTCAAAATGGTCAAGAAGCCCTGCCCTGGTGGCCTGCTGCAGACCCTGCCTGCTAATATATTTGTCAGGGCTCTGGACAAAGCACTGTGTGCTTGGTGGATCACACTGGTAAGCAGGGCCAAGGCCAGCAGGGCCTGCTCTTTTGAAACCCAGACTGAATGTGTCACATACCTGCCAGTGGGGGCCCCTGCAGGCCACATGCAGCTGGGGCAGGTGTGTTCCCAGGATCCCTGAACCCTGTTCGGGGAGTAGGAAGGAGGTACAGAGGAGGGGTCATAGGACACTGGGGCCCATCAGAGCTGGAGCTGGGAACAGGCGGGGTGCCGAGGAGCAAGACGTGTTACCGCAGAGGATGCACTGGAAGCTTCCGAGCCCATGTCTGGTTTTGTGCTCCTCTGAGAATTAGTTCCCTTAATGAGGCCCCTAGTTTGCAAAAGGCCACAGGCCTAGACCGGCCCCACGTGAGTGCAGTGGCAGAAGGCCCGAGGCAGTATCCCGGGCCCGAGTGTGGACATTTTCCTGCCTGTTGGCCCTAGTGGGCTGACTGAGTTGGGCACGCCTGGCAGGGACATGTCATACATACTATTTTTGCATTTTGTTAGTGCATCTCGTATTCCTGGCTTTGTGCTAGGTACCAGGAGGCAAGGAGAACTGGTAAGAAGTGGGGTGAAGGGCCTGAGACCATGAACGGTCTGGATCCAGAAATGGCAAGGGGTAAAGAGAAGGTCTGGGTTGATATTAGGAGTTAGCCATTGGCTGTAGGGTAAAAAGAGGAGCTGATGGTGGCTCCCAGGCTCTGTGTGTGGCAATGACAGGGTGCCGTTCACTGAGTTGGGGATGGAGGGACATGTGTGGATACCCCAGTAGAGGTGTTGGACTCATCAGAGGCTGTCTGGGTCTCACATGTAGCATTCCTGGGCACACTGGCCATAGCAAAGGGTGTGAGTGGATAATGTTGCCCAGGAGAAACTGCAAACTAAGAGGGGAGCTCTCCGAAAATCCATCTAGGAAGGAAGAGGCCTGGGAAAGAATGTCTCGAAGGGAAACATGAACAGGTCAGCAGCGGGGTCTTGCTGACCGCCTGGCCAACTGTGGGGCAGAGGGCGGAGTGGGGAGGGTGTGGCAAGGCCAGACCTCTCTCACTGGCTGAGAGTCACTGGGAAACAGTGAGACGGTGCAGGATTCAAATGTAGGTGGAAAGACGTGGGGCCGTGGGGGCCTCAGTGTGATCTGGACTCAGCCTCTTCAGCGTGGCTGCTGGAGGTGTTCGTGGGTGACGGTGCCTGGTGAAGTATCATGTGTTAGAGGGTGGGTGGCCCAGAAGCTCTCTGGGAGGCTGGCAGGTGCTGTGATGTGGCTGTTTGGCGGCCGGAGCCTGGCCAGGGAGGTGGCCAGACGGCTGAGAGTGACAGTGGGTGTGCAGAGAGGCCATGGAAACATGGAAGTCAGACATGGACACTGCTCGGGTTTGTGCCCTGGGGATGGTGTGGGCAGTACCCTCTTCCCCAAGAGAAAGAGGAGAAGCAGACACCTGGGCCATGGGTGACCCCAGGCCCCTCCCTCCTGTGCCCTGGGGCCTTTGGCAGGCACAGCCTTCCTTGGGCGTTTTCTCTTGGCCTCCTGACATCTCCAGCATGCTCTGGGAGGCGGGAGCAATGTGAATGGCTCTCCTCACATCTCTTGCCCTCGGGCCCCTGGCTCCGTGGGTGCCTCTGGAGCCAGCCTGCCCTCTGCCCAGGTCTCCAGCTCAGCCCCTGCCAGTACTACCCAGACAGGCACAACTCTGCTCTGCCCAGCTCGGACCTCCTGGAGCCCAGACCCTGCTCTGGGCTCCGGCCGAGCCTCCTGGCTGCGCTGCCCGCGCCTGCCCTGTGCCTCTGCCTTCACTGCTGTGGTCCTGCAACTCATCAGTGTGCTTCAGTCACACCTGAGACTCCAGGTACACCTGCCATCACAACTCCACTGAAAGCTAAGCCTTGGGGCAGGGGCAGGGCCAGGGTAGGTGTCCATCCTGTGATACAGGTCCCCAGGCCAGGGCCACTTTGTTGGGGCTGGTGGGTGGAGGCCAGGTGCATATTCCTGGTCCTGCCCCTCTCTGGGTGTCCACAGTCAGGTCCCTCTGAGTGATTCTCTCGGAGTCTCCTCTGGCAAGCCCCTCCAGCAGTCACCACCACCTGGGCACCCACCCCCAGGGGACCCCCCGACCCAACACCACCTGGCACCTCCCCTTGGGAATCCCCCCAACCTTGGCTGCCTCCCCACTTTGGCCCACTGTGCAGGTGGATCCATGGAGGCCAGGTCCAATGGGAGCAAAGACAGCTTATTCTGGTGGTTGGTGCCTGTGCTGAGGCCCACCTCAGGTGTTCTTGAAGCCCCTTTCTGTTTGGGGGCACAGTGTGGCCTCTTCAGGAAGTTCTGCTCTGGATCTGAGCAGCTGGGAGGAGGCAGTAGGGACAGAGGCTGAGGAGAGGACAGAAATGAGGTCCCATGGGAGAGACAGAGCTCAGATCTCCACAGAGGGCTGACCTCTCACAGGTGGGAGACAAAAGACGAAACCTGCTTTAAGGGGAGCCCCATGCGTGTGTGGGGCAGGCACTGGTGATGCTGTGTGGTGAGGACAGCCTTTAAGGGGAGCCCCATGCCTGTATGGGGCAGGGACTGGTGATGCTGTGTGGTGAGGACAGCACAGAGGTTGGGGTGGGGGGACTCAGCCTGGGCAGGGGCAGGGAGAGGGGGTGGGAGGGCCACTGGAGAGGGGCCCGGCCAAAGAGGATGTCAGGGGCTCAGCACCCCCAGGCGGCCAGGCACCTGCCGAGCACTGCAGCCACGCTTGTGGTTCACCTGCACTTGGAGACTCTCGCACAGGCGCCTCTCCTCCACCAGCAGCTCCAGCTTTGTCCCTCCCACAGCAGCTGGGCCCTCTGCACCTGAGTTCCTCCCTCCACACCTGGCTGCCCATTGTGTGGTTGCAGCTGTGGGTCGCGTGGGCCTGGCCGGCTAACTCTCTCTCTCATTGCTCTCTCCTGCCCATCTGCATGTGGCTGCTCTGTCGAGCTGCGCCGTGGTCCCGAGCGCCGGCTGTGTAAGTGAGCATGCCCATCCCATGCCTCTTGCCGTCCACACGCTGTGCCTGTCTGCCTGGGTCTCTGCTCTGCGTGGCTGTGAGAGGCTCTGGTGCCACTGACAGCCCCTTGAGGCTTCCCCTGACACAGTGGGGATAGGGATGGGAATGGGAGGACATGGGAGTGGGTTTTCTCTGGAGCTATCACCCCAGGTAGGCCTCCCACCACGGCAGAGCCAAGGAGGGGCTAGAGCTCTAGGGTCCTGTCAGGTGAGGCTGGGAAGTGAGCTGCCATCGGTTCTTGTGTGTGTGCGTGCGTGCATGTGTGCGTGTTGCGTGTCTGCGTGTGTGTGCTGCTGCCACCGCAGCATGTCTGTAACGCGTGTGGGCACCGTTGCTGCTGTTGTGTGCCGTCTGTGCAGGAGGCTGCCTTTGTGTTGAGGGTGTGCACGGCCTCACACCTGCCCTGCATGTGCTGCTGCTCCATACGGGTACGAGCCCTGCCTAGTGTCTGTCTCCTGTGTCACGGACCTGTTCAACCTCGTGCTGCTGCCAGCCTTTATCGCGACTCAGCTGTCCCTGGAACCTGCCCAGGATCCCCTGGGTCTTCTCATGAGAGCAGAGCTGTGTG
Organism: Homo sapiens; assembly: GCF_000001405.40. Classification (NCBI taxonomy): domain Eukaryota; kingdom Metazoa; phylum Chordata; class Mammalia; order Primates; family Hominidae; genus Homo; species Homo sapiens. Next base: position 66,437 of record NW_015148969.2, read on the forward strand.
GGGGGTGGGCGGTGAAGGGTACTGCCCAAGTCTCAGCGTCCCGGGTATCTGTGGATCCCGCCATGCCCAGAGCCGGTGTCGGAGGCTGGCAGGAGGGAGAAGCCCGCCCTTTGCCATGAGAGGCTGTCTTTTCTTTGGTTGGGCTGCACTTGGAGCCTGGATGGAGTGGAGGGGGCCACCAGTCATTCCTCATATTCCAGCCAGTCGCTGGCTCTGGTCCCAGGGGCCAAAGAAAAGGGCCAGGGTAACCGTAGGATCCCACCCTTTATTTCTTCCTCTGGCCGGGCTACTCCCGCCAGCCGCAGCCCCAGCCCGTTTCCTCCTGGACCCTGCCCGCTCCCCTCCGCCCGTCCCCCCTTGGCTGTGCGCCCCTCACCTGGCGCTGACCCCTCTCCCTCCGCAGGCTCTTCAGCAGCCTCGGTGAGCTGAGCTCCATTTCAGCGCAGCGCAGCCCCGGGGGCCCGGGCGGCGGGGCCTCGTACTCGGTGAGGCCCAGTGGCCGCTACCCCGTGGCGAGACGCGCCCCGAGCCCGGTGAAGCCCGCGTCGCTGGAGCGGGTGGAGGGGCTGGGGGCGGGCGCGGGGGGCGCAGGGCGGCCCTTCGGCCTCACGCCCCCCACCATCCTCAAGTCGTCCAGCCTCTCCATCCCGCACGAGCCCAAGGAGGTGCGCTTCGTGGTGCGCAGCGTGAGCGCGCGCAGTCGCTCCCCCTCGCCGTCGCCGCTGCCCTCGCCCGCGTCCGGCCCCGGCCCCGGCGCCCCCGGCCCACGCCGACCCTTCCAGCAGAAGCCGCTGCAGCTCTGGAGCAAGTTCGACGTGGGCGACTGGCTGGAGAGCATCCACCTAGGCGAGCACCGCGACCGCTTCGAGGACCATGAGATAGAAGGCGCGCACCTACCCGCGCTTACCAAGGACGACTTCGTGGAGCTGGGCGTCACGCGCGTGGGCCACCGCATGAACATCGAGCGCGCGCTCAGGCAGCTGGACGGCAGCTGACGCCCCACCCCCACTCCCGCCCCGGCCGTGCCCTGCCGGCAGGGCCCCCCACCCCCACCCCGGGCCGCGGGCTCGGCCTGCCCCTTACGACGGCGCCCGGGCCAGGAATGTTGCATGAATCGTCCTGTTTGCTGTTGCTCGGAGACTCGCCCTGTACATTGCTTAGTGCCCTCACCGGCCGCCCAGCCCACCCAGCGCACAGTCAGGAAGGGCGTGGACCAGGGAGGCTGGGGCGGGAGGTGCCGGGGGTGGGGTGCCCTAGCGTGACCACCTCCTTCGCAGCTCCTGGTGGCCATTCTCCCAGAGGGGGAACCTAGTCCAGCATGCGAGGTCAGGACCCGCCTTGGTGACTCGGGGGGAGGGGGGAGACATTGGGATTCTCGATGGGGGCCAAGGAGCCCCCCTGTTTTGCATATTTTAATCCACTCTATATTTGGAACGAGAAAAGGAACAAATATCTCTGTCCGTAATAGTTTCCTCTCCCCTCCCTTCTACTTCCACTGGTCCCACTGCAGCTGCCCAGTCTTCCATCTCCGGCCCCTCACTGCCACTGCCACCCCACAACGGGGCAGGGGACGCTCCAGCTGGTCTGGGGTTGGCCAGGGCCCTAGTGGCCCGCCCTGGGGCCCCAGCTCGGCCCCTCGCCTCGCTGAGCTCTAGTGTGCCCCACCGACCCTTCAGGTGCTGCTCGTGGTGGGAGGGGCGGCAGGCCGCGGGTCCTGCTGTGCACCCGCGGGACCAGCCGGCCTGGGAGACCATCGGCCGGGGGGGATGAGGGCAGGGCCCTGCCGCTCCACCGCAGCCATCTTCCTCACAGGGTCTCTCCCCAAGGAGGGGGCTAGCTTGGTCCCCATGCTCTTGGGCAACTACAGCAGAGAAGCCTCCCTGCCTTGGACCCCAAAGTCTCCTGTCCTGCCCTTTATGTGTGTGGGTGAAACTGGGTGCGTCTGAGCACGTGGGAGCCGTGTGTGTGCCTGATTACTGAGTGGCCACCAGGGGCCGCTCTGGACTAGCGCGGGGCCGTGGAGGCGTGCACCGTGTGCATGCGTGGGGTGTACCTGTGAGAGCACCCTGTCTCCTCTTCCAAAGAAAGTCAGAGGCCATCCTGCACCCTGGGTCCAGCTGTTTGCCCAGCCTGTCCTTCCAGAGCCTCACCCAGCCTGAGCGGGGTTCCCTGGTGAATCCCTGCTGCTTGGGGAGGCCCCAAGGGCCCCTTGGAGGCAGCGCCCCCACCTTGGGCTTCTGAGGGCATCATAGGGGGACCCCTAGAGTCAGTTCACCACAGGCCCTGGGGAGAGTCAAAGACCCCCGAGGGTGCCCAGCCCCCCACACTGTGACTCCTCACACTCAGCGATGACCTGTGGGGTGGGGGGCCCTGGGACGTTTTTAAACCTAGGGTTTGGAGTCTGGACTAAGCTCCATCCACGTCACTCACAAGTTTCTGTTTATATTTCTAGCTTTTTTTAATAAAATAAAAAAAAAAAGAAAACAGAAGTTTTCACAACCCAGGGGCCTGGCACGCCGGTCTGTGCCTGCCCGCCCCGCCCTGGCCCACCGGCCCCACTCCCTGGGCACAGAGTCACACCCACTCATCCTTCCGCCAACAGTCCAGGTCACACAGCAGCAGTCACTGTAACAGACTGCCACATACACACTCGGTCTCACACTCACCTGTGGGTTTTGGTTCCGTTCAATTTGGGTTTTTAACTTTACAGGGTCAGTTCCGCTTCACCTCCTTTTGTATGGAGTTCCATCCGGGGGGTTTCACCCCCTGCTCCAGTCCTGAGGCCTCCTGACCCTGACGTTGTGATACGCCCCACAGAGATCTATGTTTCTTATATTATTATTATTGATAATAATTATTATAATATTATTATGTAATAAATTTATAAGAAATGAAGCCATGGCTCAGTTGCCTGCTTGAGGGGATATTTGTGTCTGTCCCTCATACCGGCCACACAAACCTCCTCAGCCTGGACCACATGCACGGGTGACTCCTAGATCCCTATCTTTGACCTCCATGCCTAGGCACCTGGCATCTTCCAGCATCTTCTCCGAGTCTGCTGGAACTCAGCCCATGCCTTCTGCACCGAAAGCTTTTCTCTGTTCACCAACCCACTGAGTAGCACCTCCTAAGCTGGAGGCCACTTGTCCTCCATGACCCCTGCCAGGTTTTAAGCCTAGGGTTTAAGACTTGCTCCCGCCAGCGTCCGGTTGCTTTTAAATTCTGCTGCTCCTGTCTTGGAACCCGCTCGCATCTCTCGCAACTGTCCTACCCCACGGCTGCAGACCAGATTTAGCCCTCACTCCTTCCCTGCTGATTCACTGGTTTTCTGTTTCCATTTCTGCCCTCTGCTGACAAACACCAGCCTGTCTGTAAATGCAGCTGATGGATGGACCCCGTGAGCCAGTCCGGCCCAGCCAGTGCTGCCGTGGCCCTGCCAGCATCCCCTGCTCCCTCCCCATGCACACATGCTGCTCGCCAGTCTCCCCCCACCTCCTGCAATCCCTGAGCCGCTATGACGCTTCAGGGCTCTGTCTCACACATGCCCTCTTCCTTCTGCCTGGATCACCCATCGTTTGCCTGCATCAAGCATACATAGCTTGGAGGCTGATCTCCGGATCCTGTCTTCCAGGACGTTTTCTCTGACCCGCCCTCCCTGGAGTCCCAGTTAGATGTTAGGCTCTGCGTCTGCACGGCCCTGGTGCTATCTCAAATTAGAGCAAGTTGGTGCTTCTCACCTTGGGTTGTCTGCCCAGTTGGATGTGAGGTTTCCTTTTTGCTCCCACCCTGAGCACCAGAGACAAGACATTGTCCTTCAGGAGCGCACAGGCAGTCATGTGAGCAGCCGATAATGTGGCAAAAAAGACACGTCCTGGGTGGCACCTGGTGGGGGTGGCCAGCCAACAGGAGGGACAGAGACCCCTCGCTGAGTGGAAGGAGGTGGTGAGCTATGTCTTGAAGGGCAAACAGTAAGGCAAGTGGGCAAAGGCAATCAAGAGGGAGCCGTGAGAAAGTAGAGGGCACAGGACCCAGCACTGAGGCCAGGGGCTGCAGAGATGTGACGTCCCCGGTGGGGAGGGTTGCTTACAGGAGGGGCAGTGGTTTCAGAGCCTGGACACACTGGGTTGAGGAGGCGCGTGAATATGACAGAATGACAATCGCATACCTTGGCTCTGTGGTTAACCTTAGCCAGGGGTGGGGCCGGTGGCACCGTGGAGAAGTGCCACTAGCCCCAGACTCTGAGTCCCCATGGAGGCCTAGGGCTCCATGTGCAGCCCAGGGAGACCCACCCTCCCGATTCCACACACTCAGGCCCAGAGCGAGTCAGGGGCCCCCTGCTCCCACACTCAGACCCTTGCAGGGCCCCCCTCCTTGACTTCCCGTGCAGCCCTTTCCTTATGATGGCCTCAGTTTCTAATCTGAAAATAAGATGAGGATTAGGAAATGTTGAAAATTTGAAATTGTGTGGCCTCTGCTCTTCCTGTGGGCTGGCACCCCCCAGCCACTCCCAAGACCTGTGGACAACTTTGGGGCAGGGCCAGGACATGGAGGCTGCTTTTGTTTTGTTTTGAGACAAGGTCTCACCCTGTCACCCAGGCTGGAGTGCAGGGGCATGATCGTGGCTCACTGTAGCCTCAACCTCCTGGAATTGAGCGATCCTCCTGCCTCAGCCTCCCAAGTAGCTGGGACTGCAAGCGTGGGCCATCACACCTGACTAATTTTTTTTTTATTTTTTATGAGATGGGGGCCTCATTTTGCTGCCCAGGCTGGTCTAGAACTCCACCCTCCTTAGCCTTCCAAAGTGCTTCGATGACAGGTGTGGGCCACCTTGCCCAGCCTGAGGCTGGTTTTCAAGCTGTCATCAACCATAGCCTCAAAGGGCCTTCGTCCTTCTCCATGGCGCCACCCAGACCCTCACCTGCTTGCTTAAACCACCCCCGAGGCACCTGCTTCCCCTGGGTGAAGACCTGAAACCTACCCCTTTTCGGCCCTCAAGGTTTCACTGCGTCAACCATTCTTACTCCCTCTGGGATCTTCTTGCCTTCCTGGCTGGCTGGACATTGAGGATGGTTGGATAAGGTTTCTGCTCCTCACGGAGGGTGGTGGGGACAGGAATGGAAAAGTAGGGGATTGGGGGCTGGAAGGGATTGGAGATCAGGGTGAGAAAAACTGGGGTGGGAGTTGGATTGCCCAGGTAAATAAGGCATGGGGACAGAAGTGGGCACGGCTGGCGAAGGCAGCGGGTGGTTGGGGTGAGCAGGAGCAGCGAGAATGGCTGGGATGAGCTGGAGGGGTGCCTGGGCGTCAGGGTGGAAGCAGAGAGCAGGGAGGAGTTTGAGGGGAGATGGGGAGCCCCCATCCTGCCCCCTGTGCTGAGCACTCTGCCTCAGCCTGAGCCATGCCCTCGGATGGGACCCCACCCTCTGGCCCCAGACCTGTCACCCATTTCTCCTTCGCTCTTAGAACAGCATGAAGAAGGTCAGACAAAGTCACTCTGAGTTGAGATGTTTGTTGCTTCCATTAGTTTAATGACAAAATTAAATGGGCCGGGCCAGGTACTTTTCCCGCAACCATCACTATAGCCAGGGGCAGGCACGATGACTGGCAGCCCCTTCTAGAATCAGAAGTGGGTAAGCTTTGCGGAGTCAAACTGTAATGGTCTTCTAGAATCCAGACACTGACATTGGGTCTTCAGACTTTTTTATTGATACCTCCTAAATATTTGTAAAGAAATAGGTGCTATCCATTAAAAACACCCGAATAATATTTTCTTTAACAGTCAAAACTTTAATCTTCTTCTTTTTTTTTTTTTGAGACAGGGTTTCACTCCCATTGCCCAAGCTTGAGTGCAATGGTGCGATCTCGGCTCACTGCAACTTCTGCCTTCTGGGTTCAAATGATTCTCCTGCCTCAGCTTCCTGAGTAGCTGGGATGCAGGTGCCACTGCACCTGGCTAATTTTTGTATTTTTTGTACAGACGGGGTTTTGCCGTGTTGCCCAGGCTGGTCTGGGGCTCCTGAGCTCAAGTGATCTGCCTGCCTCACCCTCTCAAAGTGCTGGGATTACAGGCATGAGCCTCTGCACTTGGGCCCACTTCTTCAATTCTTCTTGCCATTTCTTGAACCATATTTCCAAAGTCTTTTTCTGGTTATTTATGAGACACAACTTGATGCTCAGTTAAAATAAGTGAGGTCCGCTAACACTCAGTAGTGCAGCTGAAACCTATTCACATTCAAGTCACGAAATAGAACTTGTATGCCCTTCAGCTAGAGGAAGTGGGGCTACCTGACATAAAGGTAGAAAAATCCCCTGACACTCGGAGGAGATAAAGTGTCATGACTTAGATAGGGCATATAGGAGATAGGAGGTTTCATGACTCTCAGGTAAGGGAGATGAGACCTCCAGACAACCAGGAAGAGGTGAGAATACCTCCAGACCTCAGGGGGTTGAGATGAGAACTTTGGACACCCAGAATAGAGGAGATCTCATGATACTCTAGCAGAGGAGATGAAAGCTCCATGCCATTTAGACAGGGATATGAGACTATATTCAAGTAGAGGGTAGGACATGCCCTGGCACCCAGATGGGGGCAATGAGATCTCCCAACACTCTGGTATACCGGTGGAGACTTCAGAACATTCATATAGGTAAAATACAACCTCTTGACATTCAGCTGGAAGATGTAAGACCTCTTGATTTTCAGGTAGAGAAAGTGCGACAGGGTGACACTTGGGTGGTGGAGGTGAGAATTCTTAACCTGTAGGTGGAGGCGATGAGGGCCTCTGGCACTGAAGTGGAAAAACAGAGTTGTTATTTCTTTCAAAGAAGGAGGTGATCACTCCCTGATACTGGGTAAGATATACGAGACCTATTGAACATTCATTTGAGGATGTCATAAGTACGACATTCAGTTAGAGAAAATAGATAAATCAAGATCATCTGATAATCTGAAAACTCAACACTCAGGAATAGGAGATGAGATGTCCTGACACTCAGGTTGGAGGCATGGGACCTTCTGACACCCACTTAGATGATGTGCAACCTATTGACCCTCGGGCTGGTTGAGATCTTACATTCAGGTAGAAGAGGTAAGGCTGCCCTCATGCAGGTAAGAGTGTGACCTCCTGACACTTGCAGGCGATGGGAAATGTTTTAACATTCAGGTGTTTGCAATAAGCATTTGTCACACTCTGGTAGGTGAGATGCTAGTTCCTGATGATCAGATGGGAAAAATGATGCTTCATGATATTCAGGTAGCTGTATGAAAACTCTTGACATTCAAGTATAGGAGAAAACACCTTGCTCCACCTCAGTCACAGAAAGCCGATCTGGAGACATTCAGGATAATAGGAGACCTTGTGATATTCAGCAACGGACAGGAAGGTGGGCTTTGCAGTTGTAAATTAGGAAAATTCAAAATGACTCTTGGAAAAGTGTGTTGATAGCATTCACTTGGAAGAGGAAAAGAAAACTTCCCCAACAACAATTAAGGATCAATTAATCTGCTGACCCTGACTCCTCTGATCCACAAACATGTTGCACCGTCTCATCACTGAAGGGCTGAGCCGCTCCTCAGTCTGTGAGTCTGCAGTGGTCACAGCACGCATGAGAGGCAGACTCTGAACCTGCACAAAGCCAGAGCCTTGGGTGATGTGGGGACCTCGCAAGAGTTACTGGGAATGGAGATCCTGGCCTTGGGACAGAGGGAGTGGGGCTGCACAGGAGTCCCCCATCATCCTGGTGGTGGGGGAGCCTATGCAGGAAGTCAAGAAGTCTCTTCAGCACAAACCAGTTAAGGCGAGGGGCTCTTACCTGGCCTGACTGCTGGGGGTGGGGTGGGGGTCACCCCTGCTGATTGGCCAGGCAGCCACGGAGCTTTGTGAGGTCACTAGGCTTGCAGGCCAGGCAGTGCCAGGAGTATGGTTGAGATGCTACCAACTGCCATTCTGCTGGTCTTGGCAGTGTCCGTGGTTGCTAAAGATAACGCCACGTGTGAGTAAGTGTCGGGGCACCTTGGTGGGGGAAGGATCTTCTGAGGAGCAGGTACCACCCCGACTCCCTCTGTCCAGGGCTAGGGAAAAGGAGGCTGCATCCCTAACCTGGACCCCCCCTGCTCCCAGAATCAGCAGCCTGGAGCCCCCAGACCCTCAGCTTTCGTGGTTTCCTCCAGAGATGGACCCCTCAGCACCTCAGGCTCCTTGTGCCTCTCCCACTCCCCCAGGGACTGACCCCACTGTCTTGAAGACATGAAGTCCTGATTTTGGGAGCCCTTATCCCCCCACAGACAGCTGTCCCAACCCGTGGTTGCCCCCAACAGCCCCAGGATATCATCGCTTCACACCGCTTGCACCCCTACCCCCCAGTAGGCTCTCTCACTCCAAGGTACCCCGAAATACCAACACCTCCCAAGCTATATGTGGCCTCCCACCCGTGACACAGTTCCCAGAGCCTCCACCTCTAGACCTCCACTGCTCTCAGTGTGCCCCCTACACCTGTGGGCCACAGTATCTGCCCCTGGCTGCTATCCCTCCTCCCATCACTGTCAACGACCCCCTTCATCACCTGACTTCCCTGAGTCTCCCACCCAAGATTGGTTATAAGGACCTCAGGCCATTACACCCCTCTGTCCCCAGGCCCCGCATCCCCACCTCTACCCTCCTGTTCTGCCCAGGGACGGGCCATCCCTCAGGGCCCATGCAGCCTGTCCTGGCTTCCTATGGCCTCCTCTTTCTCCATCTGTGACTGCACCCACAAGACCTGAGAAGTCGTGGCCCCAGAACCATTTCCTAGAGCCTGCGGCTTCCTACATAGCGCAGGCTGCCCCTGCTTTCCCAGAACCCGGAAGCTCTTCCCCACTTTTCCCAACCCCATGTCCCTGCCTCCCCTCAGTTGTGGAGTTACAAGGACAGGCTGTGCTCATGCCAGGTTTGAACTGTGCTCTGGTCTCTCCCCAGTGGCCCCTGTGGGTTACGGTTCAGGCAAAACCCACAGGGTGGTGTCCGCATCGTCGGCGGGAAGGCTGCACAGCATGGGGCCTGGCCCTGGATGGTCAGCCTCCAGATCTTCACGTACAACAGCCACAGGTACCACACATGTGGAGGCAGCTTGCTGAATTCACGATGGGTGCTCACTGCTGCTCACTGCTTCGTCGGCAAAAAGTACGTGTAGGGATGCACTGAGGGAGGTCTTCAGAACGGCTCTTCTCAGAGAGGGGCGTTCCCCGGGGATGCTGTGCAGCGTCTCCCTGGGGCTCTGGGCCAAGTGGCTGCAAGACTCCGGGGGCTGGTCCAGACCTTTGCTAGGGGAAGGCCCTGAGGGTCGCTGTCACCAGGCTTTTGTCCAGCCGGTTGTGACCTGGCTTACCTTTGTGCCCACAGTAATGTGCATGACTGGAGACTGGTTTTCGGAGCAAAGGAAATTACATATGGGAACAATAAACCAGTAAAGGCGCCTCTGCAAGAGAGATATGTGGAGAAAATCATCATTCATGAAAAATACAACTCTGCGACAGAGGGAAATGACATTGCCCTCGTGGAGATCACCCCTCCCATTTCGTGTGGGCGCTTCATTGGGCCGGGCTGCCTGCCCCACTTTAAGGCAGGCCTCCCCAGAGGCTCCCAGAGCTGCTGGGTGGCCGGCTGGGGATATATAGAAGAGAAAGGTGAGTATGGGAGCGCCTCCAAGGGGGGACGCTGCTGGCCATTCTCCTGGTGGTCTTTGAGGTGCAGCGGTCACTTGTTGACACCCAGCCAGGCTGCTTTCATCCTCCTCACGGCGCTACACGTAGAGCCATCACTGTGGCCTTCCACAGTCCCCTGTGCCAGGTCACGTGATGGGTGACTCGTCTGGCTGTCTACGGGGGGGCTGACAGCAGGTGCAGGCAGAGCGCAGCGTTGCTTAGAATGGGGTTGAGGCTGTGTCTGTATTTGGCACCTGGGGCCCAAGCTGCTGGATCCTGGAAACAAGCAGCAACCCTGAAACAGCCTTTGGAGAAGAGCTCCAGATAAGGTTATGTGGCCGTATGACAGTGCCTTCCACTCTCTGGGCCTTGGTTTCCTCATCTGTAAATGGAGGGGCTGGATCAGATGGTCTCCAAGCTGACCATTTCCTAACACCTGTGATTCCAGGGCCCAGCCTTCCTGCTTCCAGGCTGTCTTTGTCACCATCAGCAGCCACCTCCGGTGCAGTCATAGCACCAAATCTACCCTCTCCATCTGAGTTACTTGACATTTGCTCTGTAGACTGGGAAGGGGACCGGTGGTTGGTGTGGCTTTCTGTGGGTCATAGGCATCCCTGTATTTCAGGCTTCCTGGAGTGTCCGGCAGGTACCTCTCCATTCAAGACGGGTGTAGCTGTCGCTCTAGAGCTCTGTCCATAACCAAGCTGTCTCTCTCTCCCCTGGCTCCCAGAAGATCTCTTGCCCATCCAACACTACCTGATACACTCGACACCAGATGAGTTCTAGAAGAGTAGGGGGAATTTCTTCCGTACCAGACCAGGCTCACGGAGGGCCCCAGGTGTGACCTAGAACAAATTGTCATTACTGACTCCGTGGTCAGAGACGCCCAGACACCTCTCCCTACATACTTAGGCACACTAGAGATACCATTTATCCCAGAAGCAACAGGTGACCCCATTAAATGGCAGCAGTGAGCAGCAAGGTTTTGCCAGCAGGACAAGACCCAGTAGGACTTGATCTCTGCATGTGACCTATACTTCCAGCTTTCCATAAGTGGTGCATCTCAATCTCTTTTTTTCTTGATAATGGATAATGAGGCTTCTTAATTCAAGGCAATTCAGTCATATGAGTCTAAAACGCAGCCTTTTTTGGGTAACAACAACAAAAAGTCAATAATTTGAGGATTCTTCCTTTAACTCTTATTTCCTTCTCTGAGGGCGTGGTCTAAGTTTCTGACAGGTTTGTCACCTCTCCTGTCCCTCAGGGAAGGGAGTCTCATCCCAGCTGTCCTTGTTCTCACTGGCCTCACTTGACACGTGGCCATCCCCTTCTGGCCTGGAGTGACAGCCTCTATTCCAGCTGCCGATACCCATGGCTCTGCCCTGGCCTCTGTCCAGCCCCCTAGCCTGCCATGCTCTGTCCCCTGTCTGATGATGTCCACAGCTCTTGGGGGTCCCTATGTTCCTGGGAGGCTGATCTTAGGGTCCCCACTGCCAACCGTTGCTGTCCTATTCTATTACTCAGACAGATTGTAGTGTCCTAGCTATATCTTGGATGCCATGCAAAACCTTTTTTGTTCTGGAATTCCCATAAACCTAATAGGATCACTCTGTTTCTGTTTGGGGTTTTTTTGTTTTTCATTTTTGCAAACACATCCTGTACCCATAAGCCCAAGTCTTAAAGAAACCCCCAGGCTCCAACTCCTGTGATCCCTTCAAACCTTCCATGTCTTACCACCTCCTTCAACTCATCTGCTTTGGGGCTGGAAGGGTATTGCTTGGGTATTGCTTCTTTCCCATTGGGTTTTGAGTCCCTGCAGACTTTTAAGCATTTGTTATTTAAAGCCCAGGTGTCGGCTGGGTGCAGTTGCTCATTCCTGTAATTTACCCAGCACTTTGGGAGGCCGAGGCAGGTGGATCACCTGAGGTCAGGAGTTTGAGACCAGCCTGGCCAACATGGTGAAACCCAATCTCTACTAAAAATATAAAACATTAGCAGGGTGTGGTGGTGGATGCCTGTTGTCCCAGCTACTCGGGAGGCTGAGGCAGGAGAATCACTTGAACCCGGGAGGTGAAGGCTGCAGTGAGCCAAGATCACGCCACTGCACTCCAGCCTGGGTAACAAGAGCGAAACTTCATCTCAAAAAAAACCCGCCAAGGTGTTGGGATTTAGAAAACCCTTTTCTGTTTGAGGACACCTGGCTCTTCACAATAAAACCCATGGCTTTCAAGACTATGGGCTCTGCCCTAGACTTAAAAAGTCATCTTGGCCGGGCGCGGTGGCTCACTCCTGTAATCCCAGCACTTTGGGAGGCCAAGGAGGGTGGATCACAAGGTCGTGAGATCGAGACCATCCTGGCTAACACGGTGAAACCTCATTTCTACTAAAAATACAGAAAATTAGCCGGGCATGGTGGCGGGCGCCTGTAGTCCCAGCTACTCGGGAGGCTGAGGCAGGAGAATGGCGTGAACCCAGGAGGCGGAGCTTGCAGTGAGCCGAGATGGCGCCACCGCACTCCAGCCTGGGCGACAGAGCAAGACTCCGTCTCAAAAAAAAAAAAAAATCGTCTTAATGGCTAATAAGCCAGGATTGTTGTCATTGTTGTTTCAATGTCACCCCTACCCCAAGGGCAGTGCATGTACAAAACTCTCACTGCTGCTTGGATGGTAAGAAAAGGTGGGGGCTAAGGGGATTAAAAAACGGAAAGCCAGCGAGCACTCGTTCAGCAGCCGCTTACCAGACGCCTGCTGTGTGCCGAGCCCTATGCACGTCACTCGTGTGTCCCCTGTCTCCCGTCCTGGCCTGTGCAGCTATGTTCTGGGTCTGCCCCTACCTCAGTCTGCTCCCATCTGCTCTGCAGGTGACGTCCAGATCCACCCCCAGGGTTGTAGGTGCTGCTGCGGTGGGGGCCAGAGTGGCTGCTGCTGTTGGGGACCCTTCTGTCTGTGGGACCCTTGAAAAGGAGCAACGCTGGCGCATGCGCCGTAGCATCGGGTCTTTCTAACCCAAAGGTCACGGTAGAGAGTCCAGCGCTTTCTTTCTTTTTTTGTTTGAGACGGAGTCTCGCTCTGTCGCCCAGGCTGGAGTGCGGTGGCGCCATCTCGGCTCACTGCAAGCTCCGCCTCCCGGGTTCCCGCCGTTCTCCTGCCTCAGCCTCCCGAGTAGCTGGGACTACAGGCGCCCGCCACCACGCCCGGCTAATTTTTTGTATTTTTAGTAGAGACGGGGTTTCACCGTGTTAGCCAGGATGGTCTCAAACTCCTGACCTCGTGATCCGCCCGCCTCGGCCTCCCAAAGTGCTGGGATGACAGGCGTGAGCCACCGCGCCCGGCCAAGTCCAGGGCTTTCAAGGAAGTCCGCATCGGGGTTGTTTCAACCGCCCCTGCCCCTGCCAGGTCTGCCCGTGTGTGGAGGCGCTGCCCCGAGCTTCCCCTGCGGTCTCCTCGGAACAGATATGCAGCATATGGGGAGGGACTTATTGACCCAGCTCCAGCAGATCCCGTCCGCAGCTGAGCCGAGGAGTTCTGAAGAGGGACAAGAAGCAGGGGGAGTGGCTTACAGCCAGACTGTGGGAGTGGACAGTGTGTCTCAGACTGGAGTCTGGAGAGGAGCAGTCCTGAGGCCAGGCTGCAGCCCCACCACCTCTCTACTGTGACCTGGGTGGGCGGTGCTCCAGCCTTCTGATCCAAAATGGGAATAACGGGACCATGTGACTCAGGGAGTGCTTGGTGCACACTAGGTGTTATTGGTAATACTGCAACTAACCTCCATAATCCATCGTTAATACGCACACCCACCCCCCATCCACCTGTCCACGGGCCTCCACCCTTCCTTCCTCTCTTCCTCTCTCCTCTGGCCTTGATTTGGATAACATTTCCCCACCTCCTCCCACCACCTCTAGTCTGCTCTTTCTGGTGTATAAGGAGGGGTCGGGGCATCGACTGGATGGGTCTGAGGTTTAACTGGAGCATCACAGAGGATGGGGTTCGGTGGGGCAAGGAGGCAGGGCTTTTGTCCGTGTCTCCCGTGATCACTGACCACCGAGTGGTCTGACTGTAGCCCCCAGGCCATCATCTATACTGATGGAGGCACGTGTGGATCTCATCGACCTGGACTTGTGTAACTCGACCCAGTGGTACAATGGGCGCGTTCAGCCAACCAATGTGTGCGCGGGGTATCCTGTAGGCAAGATCGACACCTGCCAGGTAACCTTCCTTCTGGCTTCTGGGCCCCTGGGTCCCTCCAGGACTCTCCCGGCCCCTGAGAACATCCTCCTTTTGGATCCCCAAGCTCCACTATCTCCACTGCTCTGCCCAGGGCCCTTCTCTAGTGACTGCTTCCCCGGTCCCTTTTCTAGCACCTACTCTCACAGTGGGGATGAGCGGTGACAGCCACCGGCTGCCCCTGCCATGTGCCCCTGTGGACACGTGGGTTTGCTCATCTCACTGCAAGGAAAGCCCTGACAATTCACACCCTCCTCACATCCCAAATGAAGCCCCTGACACCCCCTCAAACTTTACTACAACCACTTGTGTTTACAGCAGCAGGAGACCATGTCACTGTGGAAATTGTCCTCCCAGAGCCTTCCGACCCCTCTGGGCAGGGGAAGAGTGGCTCAGGCAGATAGTGACCTCTGTGTCCTTCTGGACAGGGAGACAGCGGCGGGCCTCTCATGTGCAAAGACAGCAAGGAAAGCGCCTATGTGGTCGTGGGAATCACAAGCTGGGGGGTAGGCTGTGCCCGTGCCAAGCGCCCCGGAATCTACACGGCCACCTGGCCCTATCTGAACTGGATCGCCTCCAAGATTGGTTCTAACGCTTTGCGTATGATTCAATCGGCCACCCCTCCACCTCCCACCACTCGACCGCCCCCGATTCGACCCCCCTTCTCCCACCCTATCTCTGCTCACCTTCCTTGGTATTTCCAACCGCCCCCTCGACCACTTCCACCCCGACCACCGGCAGCCCAGCCCCGACCCCCACCTTCACCCCCGCCCCCACCCCCACCTCCAGCCTCACCTTTACCCCCACCCCCACCCCCACCCCCACCTACACCCTCATCTACCACAAAACTTCCCCAAGGACTTTCTTTTGCCAAGCGCCTACAGCAGCTCATAGAGGTCTTGAAGGGGAAGACCTATTCCGACGGAAAGAACCATTATGACATGGAGACCACAGAGCTCCCAGAACTGACCTCGACCTCCTGATCTGACCTGGTTCTCAACAGACCCAGTGAGCCCTTCACTCCTGAGAAAAAGGAAAGATGAAATAAATAAATAAACATATATATATAGATATACACACACACATATCTGTATGTATACATGCATATACATCAAGAGATGCTTTCTGGACTTCTTCCTATCCCCCCTCCCAACCCAAATTTCCCCTATAAAATCTACCCTCTCTCCTTCACCCTACAATAAGGCGGAATTGCTTGTACATTAGTGCCAATCGTGTTTTTTAAAATCTTGATTTTTAATGCTGGAATAAGGTGACCTGGGGCCGTAGACCGGGGATGGTCTTTATTTCACACTTAGGGAGAAACGACAAATGGTGAAAATAAAAGAGCCATCTCTGCATGTGCAAGTCAAAGGGGGTGGACCCCCAAAGCAGCAGCTGTGAGTGAGCTGACGGGGAAAGAGGGGGTGTGGGTCCAAGTCTTCTATCAGGAGGCTGGTGGTGTTGACACCCACAGAGAAGATTCTGCATGAAGGTTGAACTCCCCAGAACACAAAGGCTAAGGAGGCCACTAGGCCACCAAAACAAGTGTCTACTACCAAACACAATTTTGCTTGTGGCTTGTTAGTGTCCAGTTGACACCAACAAGCCTGTTCATTACTTGCCTGTAGTTAAATCTTATTAGTTCCTGGATTTGAGCAAATTAAAAAATGTATTCTTTGCTAGAGCTTTCTAGGAATTGCAATGGGGAATACTTTTTGGATGCCCCCGAGTGAGCTTTGAGTGGCTTCCTTAGGATTTGGGGTTATTTATTTTAAGACCTTCCATTGCAAGGAACAGAAACCAGTTAGAGCCATTTAAGTGATAAGGATGCAAAGATGTCACACAGAACCAATAGGAAAGGCCAGAAGCAGACACCAAGAATGGTGAGGAACCCAGGCAAGGCATGACCCTGGTCTGCATAGAGTACCTGCCCCACACTGCCCCATGCTGGGGGCAGCTGTCACCTGGAACTGTTCACATCTATTTGCAAAATCCTGGGGAAGAAATCCTCCAGCCTGACCAATATGGTGAAACTCCATCTCTACTAAAAACACAGAAAAATTAGCCAGGTGAGGTGGCGGTGCCTGTAATCCCAGCTACTCGGGAGGCCGAGGCAGGAGAATCACTTGAACCCGGGAGGCAGAGGTTGCAGTAAGGCGAGATCACGCCACTGCACTCCAGCCTGGGTGATAGAGTGAGACTCCATCTCAAAAAAAAAAAAAAAAAAAAAAAGAAGGAAATCCTGATAGGTTCAGGCCAACCGCCCACTCTGATCAGGGAGTAAAAATGCAAAACTTGACTGCTGGTTTAACCCCTTGTGAGACTGAAGATGGCAGGTCTCAGAAAGAGAGAAAACCTTGGCATTTGGCTGAGCAGTCATTGCAACAAGCTTTCACTCATACGTGTGTCCACCTAGCTGCCTGTGTGAGTCAAGCGCAAGGTGGTCCTATGCCCCGGTTACCAAGACAGGTGGCAGAGAGAAGGTGCCATGGCAGGTGGGAGGAACCCTGGCTGAGAAAGCTCAAAGGACCAGTCATTTTCCTGCTGGAGCTGGAACCTGGACTGATGGAGCAGCTGTGAATCTTCATCTTCAAAATTTATTGGTCTACCTGGGTTCAAGCAAATACCCTGCTCTACCCCGCATAAGCTCCGTGCTCTGGGGAAGATGTGCCAGAGGGCTGTGTGACCATGAAATAAGGACAGATGCGGAGTATTAAAGCAGGTCTTGACACACCAGAAATGCCCACGAACGTGGGCTGTCATTCATGGGCCAGCTGGTGGTGACTGCTGGTGCATAATCTTACGCTTATCTGCAGGGGCACTTCGGTGCCTGCCGTTTTCCTCTTATGACCCCTGAAATGCTTTGGCCACATAGGAGGGCTTGCGTATTGAGTCGAATGGCCCATGGCTCTGTAGGATAGTAACAGTTGATCACACTTAAAACATTCTATCTGCCTTGGCTTAAGAGCTGGTGCTGCTGAAGTTGGAGTTGGTAATTCATTTTATTGACTTTTAGGCTCTCTCTCCTAAAGCCAGTTTCTTAATCTCCCTTTGTACTCTGGTGCCAGACACTTGACATTGTCTAAATACTAAGCATACAAAATGCAAGGCCCCGTGCAGAAGCCGTAACAACGGCAGCTTGGGATTCACCCTCAATGACCCTGAGCCAGACACAGAGCCAGGTGGGCCAGCACATAGAAGTATGGGGCAAGTTGTGCTGCGGTCACAAAGGGGTTTTGGACAAGTTGGGGTGGAGCTACAGCAGCAGCAGCTTTTTTCTACCCCAGAGACTTCACTGCTTCTCTTCTGAGCTTTCTGTGATCCAGAGTTGATTTTCTTGGTTCTCTCTCCCCATAAATGCTCCTTGTCCTTAGTTTCTTCTCTCCCCAGTGATGGAGAAAATCTTACCCTGGGCCTATCATCTATAGCTGACATCTGGGCCTCCTTGGAGAGACAGGGCCTACTCTCAAGGAACACCCTATGAGAGGCCATAGACTGGGTGGAGAATTCAAGCCGTGATTCCTGGAAACTTCACATGCACATTAATATGGTGACATGTCACATAATCTCCTGATCCTTCACCATTCACACTACTCTATGACTTGCTTTTCCATTTAGCAAATATAGAGGTATTTCTATGTTAGTGTGTACAGGCCCATCTTATGTCTCTAAATTGATCTTCCACAATAGGGATACTTAGAAGACAAAGTGGCACAGTTCTTTCCTAGGAAGGAATGTTTAGCCTTCCATGCATGAGAGTGCCCATTTCCCTACATCTAAGCCGACACTGTTCTTACGAAATGTGTCTATCTTTACCAATGTAATAGATGTTCCAATTTTCATTTTTAAAATTGACGCTCTTTGATCTGCCTTCATGTTCCTATGGATAGTTTAACCCTGAAAAGGTTAAACTTTCAGATCGTGAAGCAGGTGTCTCCTGCTCATAGTGACAGGAGAAATGGAAGAATGACCAGCTGTGTGACAAACCAAAACTCCAGGGACCTAGACATCTAAGGGGTGTGCCCACCTAGACATCCGAGGGGTGTGCCCACTTAGACATCCGAGGGGTGTGCCCACCTAGACAACTGAGGGGTGTGCCCACCTGGACAACCGAGGGGTGTGCCCACCTAGACATCCGAGGGGTGTGCCCACCTAGACAACCGAGGGGTGTGCCCACCTAGACATCCGAGGGGTGTGCCCACCTAGACATCCGAGGAGTGTGCCCACCTAGACATCCGAGGGGTGTGCCCACCTAGACAATCTGAGGGGTGTGCCCACCTAGACATCCGAGGGGTGTGCCCACCTAGACATCCGAGGAGTGTGCCCACCTAGACATCCGAGGGGTGTGCCCACCTAGACAATCTGAGGGGTGTGCCCACCTAGACATCCGAGGGGTGTGCCCACCTAGACAATCTGAGGGGTGTGCCCACCTAGACATCCGAGGGGTGTGCCCACCTAGACATCCGAGGGGTGTGCCCACCTAGACAATCTGAGGGGTGTGCCCACCTAGACATCCGAGGGGTGTGCCCACCTAGACATCCGAGGAGTGTGCCCACCTAGACAACCGAGGGGTGTGCCCACCTAGACAACCGAGGGGTGTGCCCACCTAGACATCCGAGGGGTGTGCCCACCTAGACATCCGAGGGGTGTGCCCACCTAGACAATCTGAGGGGTGTGCCCACCTAGACAACCGAGGGGTGTGCCCACCTGGACAACCGAGGGGTGTGCCCACCTAGACATCCGAGGGGTGTGCCCACCTAGACAACCGAGGGGTGTGCACACTTAGATATCTGAGGGATGTGCTCACTGTTTTCTCATGGGACGGCTAAGCAAATGAAAAATATTTGTAAAAACTGAATTCATAATGAAGCTTACTGATCGGAACAATAAAAGAAAATGGTTTGACAGTGGCTAAACTGTACAGGGCAAGACTCTGATGCCAGAACAGTGGGCGCGGCAAGGATCATGCACAATATTGACACTCACAGAGGCAGAGGTCCTCGCTGTGCCTCTCATCAATATAGGAAATCTTACAATATTTGCAAGGGAAAATGTTCTGGTGAATCCAATCTTAGCAAATTTACAATGGAAATGTGAAAAAATGAAAACGGTTCATCTTTAATATGTAGAAAACTGACCAAGAAACAGAAGTTAGCTTAATGGAGTTTACTCCAGAAACTCTATTCTTGGTAAAGAATCATCAGTGATCTAATTCTGGACACTACACATGGGTTTTTGCATGGGCATGTGCTTTCATGTCTCTCGGGTAAATACTTAGGGGTGGAATGACTGGATCATACGGTGGGTGTAAGTTTTGACATACAAATGCATCCCTGAAGCAATCACCACAACCCAGAGAGTGAACACGTCCGTCACTCCCTAAAGTTTCCTTGTGGCACTTTGCAATCCCTCCAGCCTGTCCCCTCTCCTGCCCCAGGCAATGTCTGGTCTGCTTTGTCTCATATCAATTTGCTTTTCTCATAATTTTATATAAATGAAACCCTATAGCAAGCCCTTTTAAAAATCAATCTTCTTTCACTCAGCATAATCATTTTGAGATTCATTTTGTGTATCGGTGATTTATTTCTTTCCATTGCTGAGTATTTCATCACACGGCTATACCACAGTTTGTTTTCCTATCTACCTATTGATGGACATTGGGTTGTTTCCAGTCTGCGCTATTCCAAATGAAGCAGCTATGCGCACTCAAATACAAGGATTTGTATGGGCATACATGTTCATATCTCTTGGCTAACCATGTGTGTGAGGAATGGCTGGTAGGTATATGTTAAAAAGCACTTTTTGAAAAACATTGAGTGTTTTCTCAAAGTGATTGCAACATTTCACAGTCCCATCAGCAGTATATGAGAGTCCCGACTCTTCCACATCCTTGACAAGATTTGGTATGGTCAGCCTTTTTTATTTTCTTTTATTATTATTATACTTTAAGTTTTAGGGTACATGTGCACAATGTGCAGGTTTGTTACATATGTATACATGTGCCATGCTGGTGTGCTGCACCCATTAACTCGTCATTTAGCATTAGGTATATCTCCTAATGCTATCCCTCCCCCCTCCCCCTATCCCACAACAGTCTCCGGAGTGTGATGTTCCCCTTCCTGTGTCCATGTGTTCTCATTGTTCAGTTCCCACCTATGAGTGAGAACATGTGGTGTTTGGTTTTTTGTCCTTGCGATAGTTCGCTGAGAATGATGGTTTCCAGTTTCATCCATGTCCCTACAAAGGACATGAACTCTTCATTTTTTATGGCTGCATAGTATTCCATGGTGTATATGTGCCACATTTTCTTACTCCAGTCTATCGTTGTTGGACATTTGGGTTGGTTCCAAGTCTTTGCTATTGTGAATAGTGCCACAATAAACATATGTGTGCATGTGTCTTTATAGCAGCATGATTTATAATCCTTTGTGTATATACCCAGTAATGGGGTGTCTGGTCAAATGGTATTTCTAGTTCTAGATCCCTGAGGAATCGCCACACTGACTTCCACAATGGTTGAACTAGTTTACAGTCCCACCAACAGTGTAAAAGTGTTCCTATTTCTCCACAACCTCTCCAGCACCTGTTGTTTCCTGACTTTTTAATGATCGCCATTCTAACTGGTGTGAGATGGTATCTCACTGTGGTTTTTATTTGCATTTCTCTGATGGCCAGTGATGATGAGCATTTTTTCATGTGTTTTTTGGCTGCATAAATGTCTTATTTTGAGAAGTGTCTGTTGATATCCTTCACCCACTTTTTGATGGGGTTGTTTTTTCTTGTAAATTTGTTTGAGTTCATTGTAGATTCTGGATATTAGCCCTTTGTCAGATGAGTAGGTTGCGAAAATTTTCTCCCATTTTGTAGGTTGCCTGTTCACTCTGATGGTAGTTTGTTTTGCTGTGCAGAAGCTCTTTTGTTTAATTAGATCCCATTTGTCAATTTTGGCTTTTGTTGCCATTGCTTTTGGTGTTTTAGACATGAAGTCCTTGCCCATGCCTATGTACTGAATGGTGTTGCCTAGGTTTTCTTCTAGGGTTTTTATGGTTTTAGGTCTAATATTTAAGTTTTTAATCCATCTTGAATTAATTTTTGTATAAGGTGTAAGGAAGTGATCCAGTTTCAGCTTTCTATATATGGCTAGCCAGTTTTCCCAGCACCATTTATTAAATAGGGAATCCTTTCCCCCTTTCTTGTTTTTGTCAGGTTTGTCAAAGATCAGATGGTTGTAGATATGTGGCATTATTTCTGAGGGCTCTGTTCTGTTCCATTGATCTATATTTCTGTTTTGGTACCAGTACCATGCTGTTTTGGTTACTGTAGCCTTGTAGTATAGTTTGAAGTCAGGTAGCGTGATGTCTCCAGCTTTGTTCTTTTGGCTTAGGATTGACTTGGCGATGTGGACTCTTTTTTGGTTCCATATGAACTTTAAAGTAGTTTTTTCCAATCTTGTGAAGAAAGTCATTGGTAGCTTGATGGGGATGGCATTGAATCTATAAATTACCTTGGGCAGTACGGCCATTTTCATGATATTGATTCTTCCTACCCATAAGCATGGAATGTTCTTCCATTTGTTTGTATCCTCTTTTATTTCATTGAGCAGTGGTTTGTAGTTCTCCTTGAAGAGGTCCTTCACATCCCTTGTAAGTTGGATTCCTAGGTATTTTATTCTCTTTGAAGCAATTGTGAATGGGAGTTCACTTATGATTTGGCTCTCTGTTTGTCTGTTATTGGTGTATAAGAATGCTTGTGATTTTTGTACATTGATTTTGTATCCTGAGACTGCTGAAGTTGCTTATCAGCTTAAGGAGATTTTGGGCTAAGACAATGGGGTTTTCTAGATATACAATCATGTCATCTGCAAACAGGGACAATTTGACTTCCTCTTTTCCTAATTGAATACCCTTTATTTCCTTCTCCTGCTAATTGCCCTGGCCAGAACTTCCAACACTATGTTGAATAGGAGTGGTGAGAGAGGGCATCCCTGTCTTGTGCCCGTTTTCAAAGGGAATGCTTCCAGTGTTTGCCCATTCAGTATGATATTGGCTGTGGGTTTGTCATAAATAGCTCTTATTATTTTGAGATACGTCCCATCAATACCTAATTTATTGAGAGTTTTTAGCATAAAGCATTGTTGAATTTTGTCAAAGGCCTTTTCTGCATCTATTGAGATAATCATGTGGTTTTTGTCTTTGGTTCTGTTTATATACTGGATTACATTTATCAGTTTGCGTATGTTGAACCAGCCTTGCATCCCAGGGATGAAGCCCACTTGATCATGGTGGATAAGCTTTTTGATGTGCTGCTGGATTTGGTTTGCTAGTATTTTATTGAGGATTTTTGCATCAATGTTCATCAAGGATATTGGTCTAAAATTCTCTTTTTTGGTTGTGTCTCTGCCAGGCTTTGGTATCAGGATGATGCTGGCCTCATAAAATGAGTTAGGGAGGATTCTCTCTTTTTCTATTGATTGGAATAGTTTCAGAAGGAAGGGTACCAGCTCCTCCTTGTACCTCTGGCAGAATTCGGCTGTGAATCCATCTGGTCCTGGACTTTTTTTGGTTGGTAAGCTATTGATTATTGCCACAATTTCAGAGCCTGTTATTGGTCTATTCAGAGATTCAACTTCTTCCTGGTTTAGTCTTGGGAGGGTGTATGTGTAGAGGAATTTATCCATTTCTTCTAGATTTTCTAGTTTATTTGCATAGAGGTGTTTGTAGTATTCTCTGATGGTAGTTTGAATTTCTGTGGGATCGGTGGTGATATCCCCTTTATCATTTTTTATTGGGTCTGATTCTTCTCTCTTTTCTTCTTTATTAGTCTTGCTAGCGGTCTATCAATTTTGTTGATCTTTTCAAAAAACCAGCTCCTGGATTCATTAATTTTTTGAAGGGTTTTTTGTGTCTCTATTTCCTTCAGTTCTGCTCTGATTTTAGTTATTTCTTGCCTTCTGCTAGCTTTTGAATGTGTTTGCTCTTGCTTTTCTAGTTCTTTTAATTGTGATGTTAGGGTGTCAATTTTGGATCTTTCCTGCTTTCTCTTGTGGGCATTTAGTGCTATAAATTTCCCTCCACACTGCTTTGAATGTGTCCCAGAGATTCTGGTATGTTGTGTCTTTGTTCTCGTTGGTTTCAAAGAACATCTTTATTTCTGCCTTCATTTCGTTATGTACCCAGTAGTCATTCAGGAGCAGGTTGTTCAGTTTCCATGTAGTTGAGCGATTTTGAGTGGGTTTCTTAGTCCTGAGTTCTAGTTTGATTGCACTGTGGTCTGAGAGACAGTTTGTTATAATTTCTGTTCTTTTACATTTGCTGAGGAGTGCTTTACTTCCAACTATGTGGTCAATTTTGGAATAGGTGTGGTGTGGTGCTGAAAAAAATGTATATTCTATTGATTTGAGGTGGAGAGTTCTGTAGATGTCTATTAGGTCTGCTTGGTGCAGAGCTGAGTTCAATTCCTGGGTATCCTTGTTAATTTTCTCTCTTATTGATCTGTCTAATGTTGACAGTGGGGTGTTAAAGTCTCCCATGATTATTGTGTGGGAGTCTAAGTCTCTTTGTAGTCACTAAGGACTTGCTTTATGAATCTGGGTGCTCCTGTATTGGGTGCATATATATTTAGGATAGTTAGCTCTTCTTGTTAAATTGATCCCTTTACCATTATGTAATGGGCCTTCTTTGCCTCTTTTGATCTTTGTTGGTTTAAAGTCTGTTTTATCAGGGACTAGGATTGCAACCCCTGCCTTTTTTTATTTTCCATTTGCTTGGTAGATCTTCCTCCATCCCTTTATTTTGAGCCTATGTGTGTCTCTGCACATGAGATGGGTTTCCTGAATACAGCACACTGATGGGCCTTGACTCTTTATCCAATTTGCCAGTCTGTGTCTTTTAATTGGAGCATTTAGCCCATTTACACTTAAAGTTAATATTGTTATGTGTGTATTTGGTCCTGTCATTATGATGTTAGCTGGTTATTTTGCTTGTTAGTTGCTGCAGTTTCTTCCTAGCCTTGATGGTCTTTACATTTTGGCATGTTTTTGCAGTGGCTGGTACTGGTTTTTCCTTTCCATGTTTAGTGCTTCCTTCAGGATCTCTTTTAGCACAGGCCTGGTGGTGACAAAATCTCTCAGCATTGGCTTGTCTGTAAAGTATTTTATTTCTCCTTCACTTATGAAGCTTAGTTTGGCTGGATATGAAATTCTGGGTTGAAAATTCTTTTCTTTTTCTTTTTTTGGTAGCACAGTGAGTGGAGTTTATTTTTATAATTTGTAGAAAATTGACATTTAGATTTCAAAACTTATATTACAAAATTATCAGCAGCAGTCTTAAGCATTTCAACCATGCTGATAGATTCCACTTTGCTAACACAAACAAGGCTATTATACTATGTTTGAAAAGCAAGACTTGTTCCAAGACGGCCTATTATTATACATCTGCCTCACTGCTCAGGACCCGTTTGTGACTGTGTCTTCTTCCATCTCTTCTTCACCATCATCAGTGGGCCCCAATCTGCGTTCTCTGCCAGGGATCTGACCAGACTGCAGCAACCCCTTCAGCCTCTCCACTTCAGCCAGAGTTGAAGCATTTGCTATAGCATTCTTGATTGCTTCTACATCCCCTGGAGATGGCCCACCTTTCTTTTTGTCAGTTGGCAAACCAGCACCTGGATTAAAAGTTTTGCTTCTCCTGGCAATATCCTTTGCAAGCTGTGCACCCCGTTTGCCCTTGAACATTTTCTCTGCTTCCTGACGCTCTTTAGTTTCACTTTCTGGAAATCCAGTACTCTGATTTGCGGAACTTTATAAATCACATACAATCTGTAATGCTTCTTATTGGTTACTGGATTTCTTAGGATACTTAGGTAAGTCAGCGATTTGAGAGATGCCAGAGGGTCCAGATCACCCAGTTCCACGAGCCTATTATTGGTGAGAATGAGTTCTGTCAGACAGGGCAGAGCCTGATCAAGTCCCTCACCTATACGGCATATTCTGTTTTGTTCACTAACAACGTTTTCAGTCTTCTCAACAAAGGAAAACCATCCAGTTTCCTGATCTCATTGTCAGAAAAATCAATAGCATCAAACTGGTCTAACGTAGCACCTAGATTTTCAATGACGGGAATTTTATACCCCCGGAGGTCCAGCTCCCGGTCGCGCACCGCGCTGGTGTACTGCGCCGCCTGCTCGATCAGCTCCGCCGTCAGCTTGACCATCCTGCGGCCTCCCGTTCCCCCGCGCTGTGGAAAGCTGAAAATTCTTTTAAGAATGTTGAATATTGGCCCCCACTCTCTTCTGGCTTGTAGAGTTTCTGACGAGAGATCCGCTGTTAGTCTGATGGGCTTCCCTTTGTGGGGAACCCGACCTTTCTCTCTGGCTGCCCTTAACATTTTTTCCTTCATTTCCACTTTGGTGATTCTGACAATTATGTGTCTTGGAGTTGCTCTTCTCGAGGAGTATCTTTGTGGCGTTCTCTGTATTTCCTGAATCTGAATGTTGGCCTGCCTTGCTAGATTGGGGAAGTTCTCCTGGATAATATCCTGCAGAGTGTTTTCCAACTTGGTTCCATTCTCCCCGTCACTTTCAGGTACACCAATCAGATGTAGATTTGGTCTTTTCACATAGTCCCATATTTCTTGAAGGCTTTGTTCGTTTCTTTTTATTCTTTTTTCTCTAAACTTCCCTTCTCGCTTCATTTCATTCATTTCATTTTCCATCACTGATACCCTTTCTTCCAGTTGATCGCATCGGCTCCTGAGGCTTCTGCATTCTTCACGTAGTTCTCGAGCCTTGGCTTTCAGCTCCATCAGCTCCTTTAAGGACTTCTCTGCGTTGGTTATTCTAGTTATCCATTTGTCTAATTTTTTTTCACAGTTTTAAACTTCTTTGCTATTGGTTTGAATTTCCTCCTGTAGCTTGGAGTAGTTTGATCATCTGAAGCCTTCTTCTCTCAGCTCGTCAAAGTCATTCTCTGTCCAGCTTTGTTCCATTGCTGGTGAGGAGCTGCGTTCCTTTGGAGGAGGAGAGGCGCTCTGCTTTTTAGAGTTTCCAGTTTTTCTGCTCTGTTTTTTCCCCATCTTTGTGGTTTTATCTACTTTTGGTCTTTGATGATGGTGATGTACAGATGGGTTTTCGGTGTGGATGTCCTTTCTGTTTGTTAGTTTCCTTCTAACACACAGGACCCTCAGCTGCAGGTCTGTTGGAGTTTGCTAGAGGTCCACTCCAGACTCTGTTTGCCTGGGTATCCACAGCGGTGTTTGCAGAACAGTGGTTTTTCATGAACCGCGAATGCTGCTGTCTGATCGTTCCTCTGGAAGTTTTGTCTCAGAGGAGTACCCGGCCGTGTGAAGTGTCAGTCTGCCCCTACTGGGGGGTGCCTCCCAGTTAGGCTGCTCAGGGGTCAGGGGTCAGTGACACACTTGAGGAGGCAGTCTGCCGGTTCTCAGATCTCCAGCTGCGTGCTGGGAGAACCACTGCTCTCTTCGAAGCTGTCAGACAGGGACATTTAAGTCTGCAGAGGTTACTGCTGTCTTTTTGTCTGTCTGTGCCCTGCCCCCAGAGGTGGAGCCTACAGAGGCAGGCAGGCCTCCTTGAGCTGTGGTGGGCTCCACCCAGTTCGAGCTTCCCGGCTGCTTTGTTTACCTAATCAAGCCTGGGCAATGGCGGGCGCCCCTCCCCCAGCCTCGCTGCCGCCTTGCAGTTTGATCTCAGACTGCTGTGCTAGCAATCAGCGAGACTCCGTGGGCGTAGGACCCTCCGAGCCACATGCAGGATATAATCTCCCGGTGTGCCGTTTTTTAAGCCCGTTGGAAAAGCGCAGTATTAGGGTGGGAGTGACCCGATTTTCCAGGTGCCGTCTGTCGCCCCTTTCTTTGACTCGGAAAGGGAACTCCCTGACCCCTTGCGCTTCCCGAGTGAGGCAATGCCTCGCCCTGCTTCAGCTCGTGCACGGTGCGCTGCACCCACTGTCCTGCGCCCCCTGTCTGGCACTCCCTAGTGAGATGAACCCTCAGATGGAAATGCAGAAATCACCCGTCTTCTGCGTCGCTCACGCTGGGAGCTGTAGACCGGAGCTGTTCCTATTGGGCCATCTTGGCTCCACCACCCTGGTCAGTCTTTTTAATTTTAGTCATTCTGATAGGTGTGTGATAATATTTCATTGTGGTTTTAATTTGCATTTGCTTAATGACTGGTGATGTGAAGCATATTTCATGTGCTCATTGTCATCCATATATCTTCTTTGGGGAAGTGTCTGTTCAAATCTTTTGCCTATTTAAAAACTTCTGTTGTCATCTTTTTATAGAGTTTTGAGAGTTCTTTTTACGTGCTGAATGTAAGTTCTTTGTCAGCTGTATGCATTGTAAATGTCTTCTCCAAGTCAGAGCTTGCTTTTTAATTCTCTAAACGGTGTCTTTTGGAGCTCAGCAGTTTTAAACTTTGAGGGAGTACAACTAATCACTGTATTCTTTATTGTTACATATTATTTGGTATATCTATTCATTTATTTAGGACTTCCTCAGTTGTCTCAGCAATGTTTTATAGTTTTGAGTGTGCAGGTTTTTCACATATGTTGTCAGAATTATTTATTTATTTATTTATCAGAATTATTTATAAGTATTTCATATTCTGATACTCAATTGTTGATTCCTAGTATACAGAAATACAATTGATTTTTGTGTGGTTATCATGTATCTTGAAATCATGGATCATGCTTTTGGTGTATGGTCTAAGAGATTTTTGCTTAACCCAAGGTCACAAAAATGTTCTTTTATGTTTTATTCTAGAAATGTTAGAATTTTAGGTTTTTCACTTAGGTTTATGATCCATTTTGAGTTAATTTTTGTATTTGGTATGAACTTGGATTGAAATTTTTTTTTTTTTTTTCCTGAGACATAGTTTCACTCTTGTTGCCCAGGCTGGAGTGCAGTGGCATGATCTCAGCTCACTGCAACCTCTGCCTCCCAGGTTCAAGTGATTCTCCTGCCTCAACCTCCTGAGTAGCTGTGATTACAGGCACTCACTACCACGCCTGGCTAATTTTTTTGTATTTTTAGTAGAGATGGGGTTTCACCATGTTGGCCAGGCTGGTCTTGAAATCCTGACCTCAGGTGATCTGCCCATCTCAGCCTCCCAGAGTGCTGAGGATTATAGGCATGAGCCATCGTGCCCGGCTGAAAATTCTTTGGTATATGATGTCCAATTGCTCCAGCACTATATGTTGAAAAGATTCTCCTTTTTCCATTGAAATGCCTTTGTACCTCTGAAGAAAATCAGTCGTTCATATATGTCTGGCTCTGCTTTTGAGCTATTTTGTTCCTTTCATGTATTTGTTTATCTTGACACCAGTACCACACCATCTTACTGCAAATGGGTTTATAATAAGTCTGGAAATCAGGTAGTATACATCTTCCAACATCTGTGTTTTCTTAAAGCTGTTTTGACGGGTTTAGGTCCTTTGTATTTCCATATGAATTTTAGCATGAGTCTGTTGATTTCTACAATAAAAATTCTGGCCGGGCGCGGTGGCTCACGCCTGTAATCCCAGCACTTTGGGAGGCCGAGGTGGGCGGATCATGAGGTCAGGAGATCGAGACCATCCTGGCTAACAAGGTGAAACCCCATCTCTACTAAAAATACAAAAATTAGCCGGACATGGTGGTGCATGCCTGTAATCACAGCTACTCAGGAGGCTGAGGCAGGAGAATGGCGTGAACCCAGGAGGCAGAGCTTGCAGTGAGCCAAGATTGTGCCACTGCACTCCAGCCTGGACAACAGAGCGAGATTCCGTCTCAAAAAAAAAAAAAAATTCTGCTGAGATTCAGCAATCCCATTACTGGGTATACATGTAAAGGAATATAGATTTCAACAGGAAATCAGTATGTTAAAGAAATATTTGCATTCCTTTGTTCATTGCAGCACTGTTAACAATAGCCAAGATATGGTATCAACCTAAGCATCCATCAACAAGATGAATGGATCAAGAAACTGTGATATATATACACAGTGGAATACTACATAGCCATCAAAAGGAGATTTTATTATTTGTGAAAATGTGGATGAACTGGAGGACATTAGGTGAAATAAGCCAGATACGGAAAGATACATGATGCATGATGTCACTTATATGTGGAATGTAGTAAAGTCTAAGTCATAGAAACAGAGTAAAATGGTGGTTTCCAGAGGCTGGGGGGTGGGAAGATTGGGAGACTTTGGTCAAAGGACACAAAATTTCAGTTATTCAGGAGCAGTAAGTTCAAGACATGTATTACACATCATGGTGACTATAGTTAATAACAATGTATTGTACACATAAAAATTGCCAAGAGAGTGGATTTTAAGTGTTTTTACTATAAAGAAAATGAAATGATAATTATGTGAGATAATGTTAAATAGCTTGATTTAGCCATTCCACAATGTATACATATATCAAAACATCATGTCGTATATCAGAAATATATACAATTTTTGCTTGCCAATTGAAAGAATTAACTTAAAAGAATCTGCTGATGTTTTCATTGTGATTGTGTTGAATTTGCAGATCAATTTGGGAAGACATGACACCCTAACAATACTGCGTCCTCTGAGTCATGAGCTCAGGGTATCTATTCATTTATTTAGGGTACTGCGTCCTCTGAGTCATGAGCTCAGGGTATCTATTCATTTATTTAGGGTACTGCGTCCTCTGAGTCATGAGCTCAGGGTATCTATTCATTTATTTAGGGTACTGCGTCCTCTGAGTCATGAGCTCAGGGTATCTATTCATTTATTTAGGGTACTGTGTCCTCTGAATCATGAACTCAGTGTATCTATTCATTTATTTAGGGTACTACATCCTCTGAGTCATGAGCTCAGGGTATCTATTCATTTGTTTAGGGTACTGTGTCCTCTGAATCATGAACTCAGTGTATCTATTCATTTATTTAGGGTACTGTGTCCTCTGAGTCATGAGCTCAGGGTATCTATTCATTTATTTACGGTACTGCGTCCTCTGAGTCGTGAGCTCAGGGTATCTATTCATTTATTTACGGTACTGCGTCCTCTGAGTCATGAGCTCAGGGTATCTATTCATTTATTTAGGGCTGCTTCAATTTCTCTCAGCAATGTTTTGTAATTTTGAGTGTGCAGGTTTTTCACATATTTTGTCAGAATTATTTCTAAATATTTCATATTCTGATATTCAATTGTTGACTGCCAGTATACAGAAATACAATTGATTTTTGTGTGGTTCCCATGTATCTTGAAACCATGCCAAGTTCATTTGTTAATTCTGGTGCTCTGTTTGTAGCTGCCACTGGATTTCAACATAGACAATCAAGTCTTCTGTGAATAAAGACAGTGTTATTTCTTTCTTTCTTTATTTTTGAGATGGAGTCTCGCTCTGTCTTCCAGGCTGGCGTGCAGTGGCACAATCTTGGCTCACTGCAACTTCTGCCTCCCAGGTTCAAGTGATTCTCCTACCTCAGTCTCACGAGTAGTTGGGACTACAGGCATGTGCCAGCACGCCTGGCTAATTTTTGTATTTTTAGTAGAGATGGGGTTTCACCATGTTGGCCAGGCTGGTCTCGAACTCCTGACCTCGGGTGAACCACCCAACTCGGCCTCCCAAAGTGCTGGGGTTACAGGTGTGAGCCTCCATGCCCAACCTTATTTATGTTTTTCTATCTGAAAGCCCTTGTTTTTCTTGCCTTATTTCACAGTACAATGCTGAATGGAAGTGGTGAGAGTGGACATTCTTGTTCCTGAGCTTAAGCATGAAAAGCTTCAGTCTGTTGCCATTAAGTGTGATGTTAACTGTGGGTTTTTCACAAATACCATTTATTAGGCTGAGGATATTTTATTCTCTAAGAAAAATATAGAGGTTTATATTTTTGCTAAGAGGTTTATATTTTTATTTTTTACACAGTAATGAGTGTTGAATTTTGCCAGCTTTTCCTACATTTATTGAGATGATCATGTAATTTTTCTGTTTTTACTTTGTTAATCTGGTGTATTAAATAAACTATTTTAGAACAACTTTAGATTTATAGTAGTCACAGATTGTTACAGATTTACTCCTCTAGTTTGAGACTATTTCTCAGTCTTTCTTTGCTCTTATATGACCTTGACAAATTTGAGGGATAGTTAGGTATTTTGTAGAATATCCCTCCATTTGAATTTGTGTAATATTTTTCTCATGATTATATTGGGATTATGAATTTTGGGAAAGAGTCTCATAGAGACAAATTATCCTCATCACATCCTATCAGGAGTCTACAACATACATATGACAACAGTGATGACATTAACCTTGATCCGTTGGTCAGGGCAGTGTTTTCTGGGTTTCATCACTGTTCGCTTTCTATAAGTGCTTCTTTAGAAGTGAGCCACTCAGTCCAGCCCATTCTCTGTAGTGATGGTGGTTGGGGGTGTTGGCTCCACCCCCTGCAGATGGCAGGAGTTACACATAGTATTTTTAATTTTTCTGTATGAAAGATTTGTCTCTTATTATTCATCTATTCATTATATTAGTGTAGAGCCCTAATGTATATTTATTTTATACAGTGGACTATAAACCAATATGACATTATATAATTTGTTGCTCACATTTTTCCAGCTTTGCCCATTGGGAGCCCTTTCATATTGGCTCTTGAGTCCCTTTGACATGCCTTCATCATTTTTTAAATTAAAAAATTATTACTAATTTATTTTTATTTTATGGAGATAGGTTCTTTCTATGTTACAGCCCAGGCTGGTGTGGTCTTGAACTCCCGGCCTCAAGCAATCCTCCTACCTCAGCCTTCCAAAGTGCTGGGATTACAGGTGTGAGCCAGTGCACCTGTGGCTTCATTCCCGGCTTCATTTCATTTGTTGAGCACATCCTTCCTTTCTGATATAATAAGGTGCTACAGGCTCATTTTGCATTTCCCCTGCTTCAACCCTGGAATCCACCATTTCTCTAAAGTAATCTGGTTTTTTCACTGGAAAGTGTTTTTTTAGAAACTAAGATCTGGACACTGGGTGTGCTTGTCAATACTGAGATGTATTACTTCTAAGCCCTCAAAGCTGGATGAGACAGTTAGGTAATATATGTTGTATACTAACCCATGTACACACATGTATCTATTATTGTTTTTGTATCTATCCATTTTATATATATATAAAGCTAAATGAGAGTTCACAATAATACTTTCACCTCTTATCCAGTACCGCAAGATTTAGTTTATCCTTTTCTTGCTTCCAATACTTTTTTTTTTTTGAGACAGAATCTTGCACTGTGGCTCAGGCTAGAGTGCAGTGGCGTGTGATCTCAGCTCACTGCAACCTCCCCCTCGTGGGTTCAAGCGATTCTCCTGCTTCAGCCTCCCGAGTAGCTGGGACTATAGGCGCCCACGACCACGCCTGGCTAATTTTTTGTATTTTTAGTAGAGACGGGGTTTCACCATGTTGGCCAGGCTGGTCTCGAACTCCTGACCTCGGGATCCGCCCACCTTGACTTCCCAAAGTGCTGGGATTACAGGCGTGAGCCACCGTGCCCAGGCCCATTAAATTTTTTTTTTTTTTTTTTGAGACGGAGTCTCATTCTGTCGCCCGAGCTGGAGTGCAGTGGTGCGATCTCAGCTCACTGCAAGCTCCGCCTCCCGGGTTCATGCCATTCTCCTGTCTCAGCCTCCCGAGTAGCTGGGACTACAGGTGGCCGCCACCATGCCCGGCTAATTTTTTTTGTATTTTTTAGTAGAGATAGGGTTTCACTGTGTTAGCCAGGATGGTCTCGATCTCCTGACCTCGTGATCCGCCCGCCTCGGCCTCCCAAAGTGCTGGGATTACAGGCGTGAGCCACCGCGCCTGGCCCCATTAAATAATTTTTAAATGTTTAACTGACACTGCACTCCTGGGATAAACTCCACTTTAGTCATGTGTATTATCCTTTTAATATGCTGCTGGACTTCTCTTATTTATTTATGTATTTATTTTATTTAGAGGCAGGGTCTCATTCTGTCATCCCAGCTGGAGTGTAGTGGTGCAATCATAGGTCACTGCAGCCTTGAACTCTTGGGCTTAAGCGATCCTTTCATCTCAGCCTCCCTAGTAACTGGGACTACAGTCATGTGTCGCCACACCCAGCTAATTTTAATGTTTTTAGTAAAGACGGGGTTTTGCCATGTCGGCCATGCTGGTCTTGAATTCCTGGCCTCAAGTGATCTGCCCTCCTTGGCCTCCCGAAGTGCTGAGATTACAGGCGTGAGCCACTGCACCCACCCACAATTAATTTTAAAGTATTCTCGTTACTTGAAAATCTGTACCCTTAGCTTCCTGGCCCCCACCAAATTCCTTCCCAACTTCACCGGCAACCCCCCCACCCTAAACAACCACTAATCTGTTATTTTTGTCTGTAATCTTTCTGTTCAGTAATCTTTCTGTCTCTGTAGATTTGCCTGTTCTGGACATTTCATATTAATGAAATCGCACAACCTGCGGTGCTTTATACGTGGCGTCTTTCATTCAACATACTTTTTTTTCAGTTTCATCCATGTTGTAGCACATATTAGCACTTCATTTCTTTGTATTTTTGAGTAATATTTCATCGTGTGGATATACCACATTTTATGGATATTTGGATTATTTCCAGCTTTTTGGTTATTATGGATAGTGCTGCTATAACCACTCATATACAAGCTTTTCTGTGAGCACATGTTCTCATTTCTCTTGAGTGTATACCTAGGAGTAGATTTGCAGGATCATATGGTTAACTCGATGTTTCACCATTCCAGGACTGCCAAACTGTTTTCCAAAGTGCCTGCACTATTTTACTTCCTCCTCAGCAGTGTATAAGGGTTCCGATTTCTCCACAGCCTCATTAACACTTGCTATTATCTTTTTCATTACCAGTAAGTGGCATCTCATTCTGGTTTTGATTTGCATTTCTCTCATGACTAATGATGTTGAGCATCTTTTCATGTACTTATCGGCCATTTGTATATTTTCTTTGGAGAAATGTGCATTTGCTTCATGTATTTTTAAAAACCATTTTATCGATATACATATTTAAGGTATACCACTTGATGAGTTTGAAGTAAGTATATACCCATAAAAACGTCACCACAATGAATGCCATAAACATATTCATCACTTCAAAAAGTTTGCTCCCTCTCTCTTCATTTCTAATTCTTATGTTTTGTGATAAGGACACTTAACATAAGATCTATTTCCAGTAAATCTTTAAGTATGTAATACAGTGTTGTTAACTATAGTCACTATGCTGTACAGGAGGTCTCTAGGACTCATCCCTCTGGCATAGCTGAAGCTTTGCACCCAATGAGCAATGCCCTAGCCCTTGGCAACCACCATTCTACTCTCTGCTTCTCAGTTTGAATATTTTAGATTCCTTATGTACGTGAGATCATGTAGTATCTGTCCTACTGTGTCCGGCTTCTTTAACTTAGTATATTTGCTGCAAATGGAAGGATTTCCTTTTTATTTTATTTTATTTTAATTTTTTTTGAGACTGAGTCTCGCTCTGTCGCCCAGGCTGGAGTGCAGTGGCGTGATCTCGGCTCACTGCAAGCTCTGCCTTCTGGGTTCACGCCATTCTCCTGCCTCAGCCTCCCAAGTAGCTGGGACTACAGGTGCCCGCCACCATGCCTGGCTAATT
Organism: Homo sapiens; assembly: GCF_000001405.40. Classification (NCBI taxonomy): domain Eukaryota; kingdom Metazoa; phylum Chordata; class Mammalia; order Primates; family Hominidae; genus Homo; species Homo sapiens. Next base: position 100,962 of record NW_015148969.2, read on the forward strand.
TTTTTTTTTTTTTTGTATTTTTAGTAGAGATGGGGTTTCACCGTAGCCAGGATGGTCTCGATCTCCTGACCTTGTGATC
>NW_021160031.1:0-17435 GCF_000001405.40 Homo sapiens
TACTCTAACCTATTTTCAACACCCAAACATATACTCATTTAAAACAATTTTAATATGAATATATGAATCTAGTTAGCAATGTTTAATAATTAAAGTGTTTGTTTTCACTATGATTGTTATGAATACAAAATGTTTTTCCCTCAAATTGTTAGAAAGACTGAGATATACTTTATTTCTTTAGTGGGATGTAACGTTATTCAAAAAGTTAAGTGCTGTGTTCCTGGACCAAAAAAAAAAAAAAAAGGAACCAGCAAAGTAAATTATTAAGAACCTCCAGATTTCACTTTTTTTTAAATTATAAACTACAAAATTACAAAATTGGCTACTTCATTATCTTTCAATTATTTCATGTGTCATCAACTTCTTCATGATGCAAATATTTGTTGAATGATGCTGTAAATATTTTTCTTACTTAAAGGCATAGTTTTTATTATACGCACTAAAGATTCCTTAGTTACTCTAATCATAGAATGAAAAGAGGTCAATATCCTCAAGCTCTGTTTAAATGATCAGAGATTAGGAGTGCATAGCAGGGGTATCACTGCCCATGGAATCCAATTCTATTTGGCTTCTGGCTTTTACATCCTTCCAGAGCTGAATTTATCACCACTTCTGCTACACAACTGACAAAGCTATGGATACTATGCCAGGCCAAGAGAGAAAATCAGACTACAACTACTTCAAGAAATATGAAGGCATATATTTCTTTTTCCTTTATTAGAGGCCCCCGTGCAAGTGTTCCTACCCTTGTTTCAGTGGTTGGAGCCCAAGGTTTCAAAGTGAATATTTCTTTGTTCATAAAATTGCTGAATGCCAGTATGGAAATAAGACACGATTATCAAAGTGTCACTTCAGCATTAGGGAAAAAAAGACATGCAATTAGAAGACTTTAACTCTAAACCTCACTCTTAACCTTAGATAACACAGTTATTTGAAATTTTCTTAGCTATAAAATGGAAATAATATTTAAATCTTTATGCCGTTAGCATCAAAAAGAAAAAATAATTATGCAAAGATGAATGGGCTTTGAAAACTTTAAGAGGCTACACAAATAAAATTATGTATCAGGCTGTCCTAAACTCCTTTGCTTTCTATAAACTATAGATTGGAGGTCAGATTGTTTTCTGAAGTCTCACTGGTGTTTAAAATCCAAATAGATTAAATGCTGCTCCTGTTTGCCTGCATGACAACTGATACCAATGTGGGTAGTTACAGTGTTGAGAAACTCACATAATTTCTCCAAGAAAGCATATTTTACTGGGATTTGCCATTCCTAATAAACAAAAGAGGGCTTACTATTGACTCTGATTTTGCAAATGTATTTCTTCATGTTAAGCAACAGCTAAGATTGAGTATGATTAAATTGGAGGCTATCACACTGGATTAATGTGATCAAAATGTTTCTTTTCCACCATGGCTTCTTTCCTTTCTGTGTTTGTTACACCATTCTTTATTACATCTCTTCCTCCTTCTCTTCCATAAATCTATAGGCATACCCTGTTTTATTTTGCTTCACTTTATTGTGCTTTGCAGATATTGTGTTTTATACAAATTGACTGTGGCAAACCTGCACTGAGCACGTCTCTTGGCACCATTTTTCCAACAGCATGTGCTCACTTCCTGTCTGTCATATTTTGACATTCCTCACAATATTTCAAATCTTTTTATTATTATTATATCTGTTATGGTGATCTGTGATCAGCGATCCTTTATGTTACTCTTGTAATTGTTTTGCAGTACTATGAACCATGTCCATATAAGATGTGAACTTAATCAATAAATGTTGTGCCTGTTCTGACTGCTCCACAAATTAACCATTCCCCCATCTCTCTCCCTCTCATAGGGCCTCCCTATTTTCTGAGACACATATTGAAATTAGGCCAATTAATAACCCCACAATGGCCTCTAAGTATTCAAGTGAAAAGAAGAGTCACATGTCTCTCACTTTAAATAAAAAGTTAGACATTATTAAGCTTAGTGAGGAAGGCAAGTCAAAAGCTGGTATAGTCCAAAAGCTAGGTCTCTTGTGCCAAACAGTTAGCCAAGTTGTGAATTCAAAGGAAAAGTTCTTGAAGGAAATTAAAAGTGCTACTCTAGTGAACACACCAATGATAAGAAGGTGAAACAGCCTTATTGCTGATATGCAATTGAGTGGTCTCAATAGACTATCAAAACCAGCCACAATGTGCTCTTAAGCCAAAGCCTAATCCAGAGCAAGGTCCTAAGTCTCATCAATTTTGTGAAGAGAGAGAGGGGAGAAAGCCGCAGAAGGAAAGTTGGAAGCTAGCAGAGGTTGGTTTATGAGCTTTAAGGAAGAAGCCATCTTTATAAGTGCAAGATGAGGCAGCAAGTGCTGATGGAGAAGCTGCAGCAAATTATCCGAAAGATTTAACTAAGATAACTGATGAAGATGGTTATAGTAAACAACAGATTTACAATACAGATAAAACAGCCTTATACTGGAAAAACATGTCATCTATGACGTATCTAGAGAGAAGAAGTTAATGCTTGGCTTCAAAGCTTCAATGGACAGACTACCTTTGTTGTGAGGAGCTAATGTACCTGATGACTTTAAGTGGAAGCCAGTGCTCATTTACTATTCCAAAACTCCTAGGCCCCTTAAGAATTATGTGAAATATAATCTCCCAGTGCTCTATAAATAGAATAACAAAGCCTGGGTAGTAGCACATCTGTTCACTGACTATTTTAAGCCCACTGTTGAGATCTAGTACTGAGAAAAAAAACAGATTTCTTTCAGAATATTACTGCTTGTTGACAGTACACCAGGTCACCCAGAGCTCTCTGATGGAGATGTACAAGTAGATTAATGCTGTTTTTATGCCTACTAACACAACATCCATTCTGCACCCCGTGAATCAAGGAGCAATTTTGACTTATTATTTGTCTTATTATTTAAGAAATGTGTTTTGTAAGGCCATAGCTACAATGGAAAGTGATTCCTCTGATAGATCTGGGCAAGGAAGATTGAAAACCTTCTGGAAATAATTTACCATTATAGCTGCCATTAAGAACATTCATGATTAATGGGAGAAGGTCAAAATATCATCACTAATAGGAGTATGAGAGAAGGTGATCCCAGTCTTTATGGATGACTTTGAGGGGTTCAAGACTTCAGTGGAGGAAGGTACTGCAGATGTGGCAGAAATGGCAAGAGAACCAGAAGTGGAGCCTGAAGATGCGACTGAATTACTACAATCTCATGATAAAACTTGAATGGATAAGGAGTTGCTTTTTATGGATGAGCAAAGAAAGTGGTTTCTTGAGATTGAATTTACTCCTGGTGAAGCTGTGAACATCGCTGAAATGACCAAAAAAAAAAAAAAAGATTTAGAATATTACAGAAATGTAGTTAACAGGATTTGAAAAGATTGACTCAAATTTTGAAAGAAGTTATATTGTGGGTAAAATGCTATCAAATAGCATCACATGCTACAGAGAAATCTTTTGTGAAAGGAAGAGTCAATTGATATGGCAAACTTCATTGTTGTCCTATTTTAAGAAACTGCCATAGCCAATCCCCCAACCTTCAGCAACCACCACCCTGATTGATCAACAGCAATCAACATCGAGGCAAGACCTCTCGCCACCAGCAAGATTACAACTTGCCGAAAGACCAAAAGATTGTTAACATTTTTAGCAATAAATTATTTTTAAATAAAGTATATACATTTTAAATATAATGCTATTACACACTTAAGAGACTACAGTATAGTGTAAACATAACTTTTATATGCACTAGGAAATCAAAAAGTTTATGTGACTTGCTTTATTGTGATATTTGTTTTATTGTGGTGGTCTGCAACCAAACATGCAGTATCTCCAAGGTATGCCTTTATGTTGAGCATCAATTGTGTGATGCCCATGGCATTGGGCAATTATATAAAGTATCCTTTAATTCTCACCAAAGTTTATTTGAGATTGATAGTATGGTTTCCTTTTTATAGATGAGAAGATATGCACCAGGAAGTGCCAGATTACATAACCAAATGTGGAAAAGCAGGTATTCATGTACATGATTTCTGACCCTAATGTATTGCTATTTTTATAAAGCATGCATATTAATCAATGAATTTTTATAATAGAGAAAAACCTAGCTCATTGATTTTTCTTTCAGTGACATGGAAGACTTAAATCTCCTTTTTTGTTTGTCTAGGACATCATAGCTCTTCCAATGAACCAGTGTCGTCCGAGGCATCTCAAACTGCAGGCTGGCTTACCTGCTTTGTTAATTCACAAGATAAATTCATTAATCTATTTACTCAAATATTTGAGTGTCTATTATATTTTAAATGCTGTGATGCATATTAAGACAATGAGATAAAGGAGATAATTAACATACTAACTGGCACATATAAAGTTAAAAGTAAATGACACACAGCCTTTGCTTTGTATGTGATTATAATAAAAATGATTAAAAGACATGTATTATAGTATTGGAAATGGTATGATACACTCTATTTATCAGGAAGAAATGAGCTACAACTTTTTGTGAAGGAGAGAGCTAGAATTTTTTGTGAAGGAGAGACCACTTCTAGCAGGGACAGTTTTGCACTGGTTATAAAAGGAGATGAGGATAGAAGGAGTTTTGATTTTTAAAATTTGAGAGAAATGCTATAGAATGTTAACAAATCTGATAATTTATAGAAGCTTCTCCTCAGTTATTAATAATTCATTCAGTAAATACTTTTTGAGCATCTACTTTGTGCTCTGCACTTTCTAAGTACTGGGATTTCAGAGGCTAATAGACTAAGTCTTGGTTTTCATAGAACATTTAGCTTAGAAAAGAAGAGGGGGTGGCCAGGTGTAGTGGCTCACGCCTGTAATCTCAGCACTTTGGGAGGCTGAGGCAGGCAGATTTCTTACACTCAGGAGTTCAAGACCAGCTTGGGTAACATAGGGAAACCCTGTCTCTAGGAAAAGTAGCCAGGCATGGTGGTGCATGCCTGTAGTCCCAGCTACTTGGGAGGCTGAGGTGGGAGGATTTTGAACCTGGGAGGTCAAGGCTGTAGTAAGCTGAAATTGCACCACTGCACTCCAGCCTAGGTGACAGAGTGAGACCCCGCTAAGAGAAAAAAAAGAAAAGAAGAGGGGAAATAAATACACATAAAACATCTCATAGAGATAAATGTAATATAAAAAATAAAACAGAGTGTATTAGGGTTCTCCAAAGAAACAGAACCAATAGAAGATAGATAGGGAGGGAGGGAGGGAGGGAGGGAGATAGATAGACAGATTTATTATACGAATTGGCTCATCATATCATTCTGGAGGCCAAGAACTGCCATCTGCAAGCTGGAAGACCAGAAAGGCCAGTGGTCTAAGTCCCAATGTGAGTCCAAAGACCCAAGAACCTGGAGCTCTGATGTCCTAGGGCAAGATAACATGGATGTCCCAGCTCAAACACAATTCACTGTTCCTCCCCCATTTTGTTCTATTTGAGACATCAATGGATGGGATGATGCCAATCCATATTGGTAAGGGTGATCTTCTTTACTCAGTCTACCAATTCAAATGCTAATCTCCTCCAGAAACCCCTTCACAGACACATCCAGGAATAATATTTTACCAACTATTTGAGTACTTCCTAGCCCAGTCAAGTTGACACACAAAATTAACCATCACACAGGATAAGGCTATAGGGAGTGGTGGATGGTGATAATCTGGGTTAAGTGGTCAGAGAGGGACTCTCTGAAAAGTGACATCTGAAAGATGACTGAATAAGGTTAACCAAATGAACATTTAGGAACGGAATACGGCAGGCAGAAAACAGAGGAAATTCAAAGGCTCTAAAATGAGATATTTCTCATTCCTGGTGGGAACTTTAGCTTTTATTCTAAATGTTCTGGAGGGCCTTCTGAGGATTGTAATAGACGATGAAGATTACTTTAAAATTATGTGTGTCTATAGGTTTATATATATATATATATAAATAAATAATGTGGACATATATGTAATGTGGAAAAATATATAATGTGGCTATATATAATATGGACATATAAATATATATTTATGTAATATATATTTATATTAATATATTTTTTAAATATAATGTACTTATTTAGATATGTTTTTAAATACAAATATATATATTTATAAATTTTTAAATATAAATATATATTTATAAATTTTTAAATATAAATATACATTTATAAATTTTTAAATATAAATATACATTTATATATATTTAAATATAAATATACATTTATATATATTTAAATATAAATATACATTTATATATATTTAAATATAAATGTATATTTATATATATTTAAATATAAATATATATTTATATATATTTAAATATAAATATATACTTATATATTTTTAAATATAAATATATATTTATATATTTTTAAATCTAAATATATATTTATATATTTTTGAATCTAAATATATATTTATGTATTTTTGAATCTAAATATATATTTATGTATTTTTGAATCTAAATATATATTTATGTATTTTTGAATCTAAATATATATTTATGTATTTTTAAATCTAAATATATATTTATGTATTTTTAAATATAAATATATATTTATATATTTTTAAATATAAATATATACTTATATATTTTTAAATATAAATATATATTATTAAATATAAATATATATTTATATATTTTCATATATTTAAATATAAATATATATATTTAAATGTTTTAATATATGTATATATAAATATATGTGTTTAAATATATTTATATATAAAAATATATATCTATATATTTTAATACATTTATATATAAAAATATATATCTATATATTTTAATACATTTATATATAAATATATAAACTAATATATTTTCATAAATTTATATATAAAAATATATACTTATATATTTTCATATATTTACATATATAATTATATATTTAAATATATTTATATATTAAAATATATACTTATGTATTTTAATATATGTATATATAAATATATACTTATATATTTTAATATATTTATATATAAAAAATATATATTTATAAATCTTAATATATTTATATATAAAATATATATTTATATATATTAATATATTCATATATTTTAATATATTTATATATAATTACATATATTTGGATGTAAAAATATATATTTAAATTTTTTATATATTTATATATAAATTTATATATTTATACATTTTTATATATTTATACATAAATATATATAAATATATTTATATATATGTATGTATTTTTATATATTTATATATTAATATATAAGTATACATTATTATCTGTTTATATAAATATACATATTTATATATTTTCATATATTTTTATGTATAAATATAAATATTTATATATTTTTATATATTTACATATAAGTATAAATAATTATATATTTTTAGATATTGATATATATAAATATATATTTATACATATTTTTATATATTAATATATGTATATTTTTATGTAAAAATATATATATTTCTATATAAATATATATTTTTATAAAACATATAATCTTATATATAAATATATTTCTTAAATAAATATATATTTTATATATTAATATATACTTTAATATGAATATATATTTTATATATAAATATATATTTTAATATGAATATATATTCTATATATAAATCTATATTTTAATATGAATATATTTTTATATATCAATATATATTAATATATGAATATATAATTTAATATAAATATATTTTATATATAAATATATATTTCAATATGAATATAAATTTATATATAATTATACATTTTAATATAAATATATTTTTATATATACATATATATTTCAATATATAAATATACGTATTTTTACATGTATACATATATACATTTTTCTATATACAATTATACATTTTTACACATAAATATATATTTTACATACAAATATATATATAAATTATATCTATATTTATATAAATATATAAATATGTATTATATATATCTAATATTTATATAAAATATTACATATATTATATATATAATAAAATATATCAATGTTATTATATATAATATATAATATATATTAAATGTATATATTAAAATATATATAAAATATTAAAATATACTATATATTTATATAACAATACATAAATATATATTTTTCATATTTACACATACATTTTTTGTATATAAATATATATATTTATACATAAATATGTATATTCGTATATAGATATATTCGTATATAAATAGATATATGGGGATATAAATAGATCTATTTATATACAAATATATCTATTTGTATACCAATGTATCTATATACGAATATATATATTTATATTTAACTATATATTTTTAACTGTTAATATAAATTTACATATATATATTTATAATACATTTCATATGTTTCATATATATTATATATATTAATATATATTATCTATACAAATATGTATATGCAATATAAAAATTTATCTTTATATAAACATATACATAATATATATAATATATTAAATGTATATGTTTATATAAAAATATATATAATATATAAATATATATGTATATAAAAATTTATATAAATATACATATAAATATATATAATATATAAATATATATTATATAAAAATATATTATATATAATATATATAATATATAACATATAATATATATAATATATATAAATATATATATAATAAATATAAGTATATTTATATAAAATATATATTAATATATGCATTATATATAAATATATATTTGTATCTATAAAGACAAAAATATGTATATATTTGTAGAAAACTACATATATTTTTATATATTTTTTATATAAATATATTTTTATATAAAATATATATTTATACACGTATATATATGAATACATATATTTTTATGTATGAATACATATATTTTTATATATGAATACATTTCCTTTTATATATGAATACCTTTATTTTTATATATGTATATATATTTTTATATATGAATATAAATATTTATATATGAGTATATATATTTTTATATAAGAAAATATATGTATTTTATATAAGACTATTTTTTATATATGATTATATATATTTTTGTATATGAATATATATAAAATATACGAATATATTTTATATATGAATATATCTTTATGTAAATATGTATATTTTTATATAAAGATATATTTTTATATGTGAATATATTTACATAAATATACATATTTTTATATAAATATCTATATTTTCATATATGAATACATATTTCTATATATGAATATATATAAATATATATTTATTTATGAATAAATATTTATATAAATATATATTTTTATATATGAATACATATATTTATATATTTATATAAATATATATTTTATATATGAATATATATATTTATATAAATATATATTCTATATATGAATTTATATGTTTATATATTTATATAAATATATATTTTTATATATGAATATATATATTTATATATTTTTATATATGAATATACATTTATATATTTTTATGTAAATATAAATTTTTACATAGGCATATATATATTTATAAAAATATAAATATATATACAAATATATATTTTTTATATTAATATATATTTATATATTTTTGTATTTATACATATTTATATATAATTATATAGGTATATATCTTTATATATATTTATATATACATATTTATATGTACAAATATATATAGTTATATAAATACATATTTATATATTTTTGTATATATTTATATATATTTATGTAAATATATATTTATATATTTTCATATATATTTATATTTTTATATAAATATATATTTATTTATTTTTATATAAATATATATCTATGTATTTTTATATAAATATATATTTGTATATTTTATACAAATATATATTTATATATTTTATGTAAATATATATTGATATATATTTATGTAAATATATATTGATATACATTTATGTAAATATATAGATATATTTTTATGTAAATATATATAGACATATTTTCATGTAAATATATATATTTATATATTTACATGTAAATATATATTGATATATTTTCAGTCTATATTTATATATATTCATATATTTTTTAATATATATTTATTTTCATATATATTTTGAAAATATATTCATATATATATTTTTAATATATATTCATATATTTATATATATATTTTTAATATATATTTATGTATATATATATATTTATTTCTATTTGTGTATATTTGTATATATTTATAGATATTAATATATGTATTCATATTTATAAACATTCATATATTTTAGATATATTTATATATAGATAGATTTTATATACATTTACATGTATTTATATATATAGATTTTTATATATTTAATAAAATTATATTTTTATGTATGTTATATATAAATATATATCTATATATATGTTTATGTATATAAAAACATATTTATATACAAATATATTTAAAAATATATTACATATAAATCTATATATGATTTGTATAATCTATATATAATCTATATATAAATGTGTATATTTATATATATTTTATATATGTTTATATACAATATATATATTTTTAAATACATTTTATATATATTTATATATTAAGATAAATATTTATATATAAAGATAAATATCTATTTATATGTTAAGATAAATATATATTTATATTAATATATATATATATTTATATTAATATATATATATTTATCTTAACATATGAATATATATTATATATATATACAAATATAAATATATATATAATATATATATTTATATATATAAATATAAATATATATATTAATATAAATATATATTTATATATTCATATAAATATATATTTATATAAATACATTTATATATAAATTATTTATATTAATAATAAGAAATATATATATTATATATATTTATATATATTTATTTGTATATATAAATGTACATAAAAATTTATAAATATATATTTATATAAATACATTTATACATTAAGATAGATATATATAAATGTAAATATACATATTTATAAATCAATATAAATATCTATAATTACATATTTATATAATAATATAAATATGTATTTATATTATTATATAAATATATATTGATGTATTATTTAAATTTATATTGATATATTATTATATCAATACATATTTATATTATTATATGAATACAGATTTATAAATCTGTATTCATATAATAATATAAATACTTATTCATATATTAATATAAATATATATTTATATAATAATACAAATATATATATTAATATAAATATATATTTGTATATTAATATAAATATAGATTTATATATATTTATGTAATATATATGTTTACATAATGTATTATATATAAATATATATTTGTATATCTTATATAAATATATATTTCTATAGAATACAAATATATATTTATATAATTATATAAATATATATTTGTATAATATATATTTATATATTGTATAAATATATATTTATATAATTTATATAATATATATTCATATATTTATATAAATATATATTATCTTATATATACATATATTATGTAATATATATATTATAAAATATATACATATATAACATATATTATATAATATATATACATATATTATATAACACATATTATATAATATATATACATATATCATATAATATATATTATATGATATATATACATATTATACGATATATATACATATATCATATAATATATATTATATGATATATATACATATATCATATAATATATATTATATGATATATATACATATATCATATAATATATATTATATGATATATACATATATCATATAATATATATTATATGATATATATACGTATATCATATAATATATATATTATATTACATATACATACATTACATTATATATATTTATAACTGATATAATATATATATTTATATATTATATAATTATATATAAATCTATACTTATATATTATATAATTATATATAAATCTATACTTATAAATTTATATAAATCTATATTCACATATATTTATATATAATTATATATTTATGTATATACATATTATGTATATATATATGTAAATATATATTTATATATTATGTATATTATATGATATATATTATCCATTATATAATATTATATAATAGATAATATATATTAGATATAATATATAATATATATGATATATATTATATAATAGATAATATATATGATATATATTATATAATATATATCATATATATTATACAATATATAATATATATTATATATAATATATAATATATGATATATATTATATATTATATATAATTCATATATATTTGTATATATCATATATATTATATATAATTTATATATATTTCTATATATTACATATAATATATATATTTATATATTATATTTAATTTATATAAATTTATATAGATTATATATAATATATACATTTATATATAATATATATTATATTTAATATATAAATATATATTTATATATATTCATATATATATTATATATAATATATATGTATATATTATATATTATATATATGTATATATTTATATATATTAGATATAAATATATATATTTATATATTAGATATAAATATATATATTTACATATATTAGATATAAATATATATATTTACATATATTAGATATAAATATATATACTTATATATATTAGATATAAATATATATATTTATATATATTAGATATAAATATGTATATTTATACATTAGATATATATGTTTATATATCAGATATAAATATATATATTTATATATATCAGATATAAATATATATATTTATATATATCAGATATAAATATATATATTTATATATATCAGATATAAATATATATATTTATATATATCAGATATAAATATATATATTAGATATATATAGTTATATTTATATTTATTTATATAAATATATATTAGTATACATATTTATATTTATAAATATATATTAGTATACATATTTATATTTATAAATATGTATATATTTGTCTATATAAATATAGATATTTATACATTTGTATATATAAATATATTTATTTTTATATTTGTATATATAAATATATATATTTTTATGTTTGTATATATAAATATGTATTTTTTATATTTGTATATATAAATATATATTTTTTATATTTGTATATATAAATATATATATTTATATATTTGTATAAATATATATAAATATTTATATATATAAATATATATTTATCTATTTGTGTATATAAATATTCGTATATATAAATACATATTTATATATATATTCATATATATAAATATGTATTTATATATTCATATATATAAATATGTATTTATATATTCATATACATAAATATGTATTTATATATTCGTATATATAAGTATATATTTATATATTTGTATATATAAATATATATTTATATATTTGTATATAGAAATACATATGTTCACATATTTGTATATATAAATATGTTTACATATTTGTATATATAAATATATGTTTACATATTTGTATATATAAATATATATGTTTATATATTTGTATATGTAAATATATATGTTTATATAGTTGTATATATTAATATATATGTTTATATAGTTGTATATATTAATATATATTTATAGATTTGTACATATAAATATATATTTATAGATTTGTATATATAAATATATTTTTATAGATTTGTATATATTAATATATATTCATAGATTTGTAAATATAAATACTTTTAGGTTTGTATATATATATTTATATGTGTATATAAATATATATTTATATATGCATATATAAATATATATTTATATGTGTATATAAATATATATTTATAGATTTGTATATATAAATATATATTGATATATGTATATACATATATAAACATATATTTATAGATTTGTATACATAAATATATATTTATATATACATATATAAATATATATTTATAGACATGTATATATAAATATATATTTATAGATTTGTATATATAAATATATATTTATAGATTTGTATATATAAATATATATTTATAGATTTGTATATATATTTATATATTTGTATATATATTAATATATACATTTATAGGTTACATATAAATGTATATATTTATATATTTGTATATATAAATATATATATTTTTATATATTTCTATATATAAATATATATTTTTATATATTTGTATATATAAATATATATATATTTATATATTTGTATATATAAATATATATATATTTATATATTTGTATATATAAATATATATGTTTTCATATATTTGTATATATAAATATATATATTTTTATATGTATTTGTATGTATAAATATTTATATATTTTTTAAAATTTTTATATATCCAAATTTTTATATATATATATAGTGGATAAAGGATAAACAAAGCCTGTTTCACCCTTTCATCTTCATGAAAACCTACCTTTGGTTAACTTTCTAGTTCTGTGTCCCACGAAGCCTGATAAAAGTGGAATACCTGCATTGTTACTAGACAACTTTATATTGTTGAACATGACTCCTTACTGGCAAACTGCATCTGGACCAGGAGGATTGTAATATGACACCTGAGTGTGGTGAATTTTGTAACTGGCTATGTCCATTTCCAAGATCCTGGAGTGCTGCTCTCAAGTATTGGTACAAGAGATATTGACCCCTATGGAGCATTGGACTTCTAAGTCAGGATCGCCTCCATGTTCTCCTACGTGATCCTACTGCTTCCTAGTTGAATTTGTACTTTGAGGACAAAGAAAACTAGCTAACCCTATACTACTACAAACACTCTGATATAAAAGACACACCTAACACAGCCCTTCTGGCATATTGTGTTTCGTACCCTATATCCTTCTAGGTGGATCTACGGCCAAGTATGCTCAATTGCTTTCTGCAAGACAAATTGACTATTTGAGCCTATGGAGTTTCTCTGGTGGGTACTGCATGTAGGAAATACAAAATAGCTTATAGTAACATATATAAAAGTCACCAAAGCCAATTTTGAATCTTGTTGACTGCTTATTAAAGGATATAAAATCTAAAGTATGAGTAGAAGCAAATTAGACAAAGGAGTTTTAAAGGAAGTTGTCAGTTTAAGAGACGTAGGTGTGAGATTAAACAGAGTGAATGGGATGAGGAAGACAAACATGTTGAGTGTTACTTAAAACACAGGTAATGTCTGCCTCATATAAAATAATTTAGAAGTGACAAATGGACTATGAAATACAGAGATAGCCATGATCAGGCTGACTTTTGTCAGATATGTCTCCTGTTCAAAGAAACCAAACATTGAATGTATAAGGGTGAACACTGCTGTATGAAACACAAGAGTTTGATGAAAAACCACAGAAACCAATTAACACTGATCCAGAAGGTATAATATTGACCCCTCTGAGGCATAAACAAGTAACGGAATTTCGTAGATTTTGAAAACATCAAATCACTTATCTAGAATATTAGATTAAATTTTTCCATAGAAAGCAACTGAAAAAAAGAAGTTTCCTTGTCTGAAAATACAAGATTACAAGATCTTACTAAAACTAATCAAAAAATTGGCCTTGGTGGGGAGAGAAATGAAACAGGATCACATGGCCAGAGTGAAGTCTTAACAATAGGGAAGATCATAGAGGTAAGAAAAGAAATATTGAATAGAGTCTGGAATGCAGGAGCATGTATGTGTGGCTGTGTGGCGGTGTGTGTGTGTATGCTTGTGTGTGTGTGTGTGCGCGCGTGTAGGTAAGTTTGGTAAGTTTAGATGAGCCTGGAAGATTAGCAGGAGTGTGAATTTCACCAGATCTTCATGTTACAAAAATATGCTCAAGGAGAAGGCTATTTTGGAAACCATTGCAGAAATACAATAAGATATAGTGGTGACACGAACTTCAAGTTATGGTGGTGGGTTTTGAGGGAAATTCTGGGACTTGGCTTACAAAATTACCTAGAAAAGACCTAGTTCCTCAGGCATATGATGCTTACAGGCAAGCTGCACTACAAACAAAATATTTTCACATAAACAGATACACATTCCCTCTTGCTAGGATGAAATATATAAATATACTTCCATTTACAGATGGATTCCTTCATTATTGGAAACAGAAATACACTTCAAATCTGTGTTACAAACTTCTGAAGCAAACAATTTATTTTCCTCAGACAGTTTTACCCGTTATTTTGAAAATATAAAGAAATTGCTTGATATCTTCAATTTATGAGTGAATTTTACATTTCTACTCATGAAATGCAAAGATTAACTGCACTTGAATAGATATATGAAGATATTGAGGTTGCTGTGCAGCTTTGCTCATACAGGCCTATTTTGCACACTAGGTTTGTCAAGGACTTGAAGTTCCCTGCTATTCTGTATCTGTGTTATATGATATGAAAATAGTCATTTGTGGTAAATTTTTATGAATATGATAAAAATCTTTATATATACTCAATCTGGAAGTATAAAACTGCAAAACCAAAGTTTAACCTATAATTTTGTTAAGCAGTTTTCAGTCTGTTTTTATTTTTATTTTTATTTATTATTATTATTTTGCTTTATTTTTGAGACAGAGTCTTGTTCTGTCACCCAGGCTGGAGTGTAGTGGCTCTATCTTGGCTCACTGCAACCTCCGCTTCCTGGATTCAAGCAATTCTCATGCCTCAGCCTCCTGAGTAGCTGGAATTATAGGCACAAGCCACCACACCTGACTAGTTTTTTTTGTATTTTTAGTAGAGATGAGGTTTCACCATGTTGGCCAGGCTGGTCTCAAACTCCTGACCTCAAGTGATCCACCCACCTCGGCCTCCCAAAGTGCTGGGATTACAGGCATGAGCCACTGTGCCCAGCCTCAGTGTGGTTTTAGAACCTGATGCAAACCTATAAGGGGAAATAACAATTTCCTTATTAAATGGGCCAACATTGAGGAGTTGATGTCAGCAACATGGTATACTAGGAGGTCCGAATGTTGACCTCCCCAGAAAAATAATGATTAAACAACTACTTACTGACAAAAACAGCTCTGGGAGAGTTCCAGAATACAATGAAAAAGCTGCAGCAACCAAATTGGAGCACGAAATCTTAAGATGACAGCATAAAAATGTATCGGAAGCATTTTCCGACATCACCACCTCCGCCAGTCTGGCACAGGTTGATGCCAAGAAGGATTCCATTGGCCATGACTTTTCCCCATGGGAGAAAAGGAGAGGATCTCTCGCTACTGAGGACCCTTTCAGTCATCACTGCTCAGAGAAGGACCCATTTTTGCCTATCAACTCTGCACTAGCATTCAACATACATCCCCAGGTACTTTCGCCTCTGCTCCTCGCATGCCCATGCCCCAGACTCCAGCATCACCAATGTTCCACTGAGGCCTGTACCCCAGAAACTAGCACCACTTGCTGCCACAGTTGTGCCTGCATCCCAGACCTTGGCACCACCACTGTTCTATGCATGCCCATACCTTGGGCCCCACTGCCACAGCCACTCTTTATCTGCCTACTTCCCAGACACCAGCATTACCACTGTGTACACTCACACCCTGGACCCCAGCTCTAAGATGGACACCCTCAGTGGTGACTCCCCCTATGGTGGAAA
>NW_021160028.1:0-28824 GCF_000001405.40 Homo sapiens
ATCCATTTCTTTTAAGTTGTCAAATTTATGTGTGTAGTGTTGTTTAAAGTATTCCTTTATCCTTTTTATGTCAGTAGGGTCTGTAGCATAATCCCCTGTTTTATTTCTTTTAAAAAAACTTTTATTGAGGTATAATTGATATATTAATACAAAGAACTGCATATATTTAATGTGTATAATTTGACGAACTTGTTCATATATAAACACTCATTATTCCATTACCATAATCAAGGTAGTAGACACATCCAACACCAGCCAAAGTTTCCTTGTGTTCCTTTGTTGTTGTTGGGTGTTTTCTTGGCAAGAACACTTAACATGATATCTACCCTCTTAACAAATTTTGAAGTGCCCAATGCTGTTAACTACAGGCACTCTGTTGTACAGCAGATCTGTAAAATTTATTAATCTATGTCATTTCTGATATTGCTAATTTGTGTCTTCTTTTTCTTTGTCAATCTTGGTAGAGGTTTGCCAGGTTTTTAATCTTTTCAAAGAACCAGACTTCATTTAATTGATTTTTACTATTGGTTTTTCTGTTTTTAATTTCACTGATTTCTGCTTTTATCATTATTTTTTCCTAAGTTATGCTTGCATTGGATTTATTTTTCTCTTCTTTTTCTAGTATTGAGGTGGGTGCTTAGAGTATTGACTTTTAAGCTTTTCCTCTTTTCTAATATTAAATAGTGTTATAAATTTACCTTTCAGTTTTAGCTGTGGCCCATATATATATATATATATATATATATATATATATTTTAGCTGTGACCCACGTATATATGTATATATGGTATCATCTATTCTATATATATCATCTGTCTCTCTCCCTATATATGTACAATATATATTTTATTAAATAGTATATAATATTGTATTTTATGTATAATAAAATATATAATGAAATATAATATATAATACAATATATTTATGTATATAATATGTACACTTATTATATATAAATTTAAAAATGAATATATCTATTTTAAATAGAGACAGAATGTCCCTACGTTGCTCAGGGTGGTCTTGAACTCCTGGCCTCAGGTTATTGTCCCCATGTTTGCCTCTCAAATTGCTGGTATTACAGGTGTGAGCCACCACACCTGGCCCACAAATTTTGATGTGTTGTATTTTCGTTTTCATTCAGTTCAGTGTTTTTTTTTTATTTTGATTAAACCTTCATCTTTGATCCATGAGGTATGTCGTTTCGTTTCCAAGTGTTTGGAGATTGTTCTGTTATTATTTATTTATTTATTTTGAGATGCAGTCTTGCTCTGTCGCCCGGGCTGGAGGGAAGTGGCACGATCTCGGCTCACTGCAAGCTCCGCCTCCCGGGTTCATGCCATTCTCTTGCCTCAGCCTCCCGAGTAGCTGGGACTACAGGCGCCTGCCACCACGCCCGGCTAATTTTTTGTATTTTTAGTAGAGACAGCGTTACACTGTGTTAGCCAGGATGGTCTGGATCTCCTGACCTCGTGATCCACCCGCCTCGGCCTCCCAAAGTGCTAGGATTACAGGCATGAGCCACCACGCCTGGCCCTGTTGTTCTGTTATTCTTGTCACTGATTTCTAGTTTGATCCCATTGTGGTCAGAGAACATACTGTGTTATGAGTTCAATTCTTATTTTATTTGCTGAGATTTGTTTTACAATTGAGGGCATCATCTATTTTGGTGAAAGTTCCATGGGCACTTGAAATGAATGTGTATTTTTTTTTTTTTTGCGGGGGGATCGTGTTCTATAAATGTCAATTAGATTCTGTTTGTTGCTGTTGTTGTTGAATTCCTCTATACCCTTGCTGATTTTTTATCTAGCTGATTTTTAAAAATCAATTATTGAGAGAGGGATGTTGAAGTCTCCAACTGTAAATGTGGATTTGTCTATTTTTCCTTTCAATTCTGTCAGTCTTTGCTTCGTGTATTTTGCAGATCTGATGGTTGGTACATACACGTTTGAGATTTCTGTATCTTCTTGGTCGATTGACTCTTTTATTATTATGTAATGTTTCTCTCTGACCCTGTTAATTTACTTTGCTCTGATATTACTTTAACTGATATTAATATAGCCACTTTTGTTTGTTTAAAATTAATGTATGCATGATATATCTTTTCCCACTTTTTAATTTCCACCTGCTTATATCATTGTATTTGAAGGGGGTTTTCTTGTTGACAGCATGTCATTGGGGTGTGCTTCTTTTTTTTTTTTTTTTTTTTTTTTTGAGACAGAGTCTCCCTCTGTCACCCAGGCTGGAGTGCAATGGTGCGGTCTCGGCTCACTGCAACCTCCACCTCCCGGGTTCAAGTGATTCTCCTGCCTCAGCCTCCTGAGTAGCTGGGAATACAGGTGCACACCACCACGCCTGGCTAATTTTTGTATTTTTAGTAGAAACGGGGTTTCACCATGTTGATGTTGGTCAGGCTGGTCTCGAATTCCTGACCTTGTGATCCATCCGCCTCAGCCTCCTAAAGTGCTGGGATTACAGGTGTGAGCCACCGCGCCAGGCCTTGTGTGTGTGTGTGTTTGTGTGTGTGTGTGTGTGAGACAGAGTCTCACTCTGTTGCCCAGGCTGGAGTGCAGTGGCGCAATCTCAGCTCAGTGCAACCTCTGCCTCCCAGGTTCAAGCAATTCTTGTGCCTCGGCCTCCCAAGTAGCTGGGACTACAGGGTCGGGCCACCACACCCAGCTAATTTTTTGTATTTTTAGTAGAGACAGGGTTTCACCATGTTAGCCAGGATGGTCTTGATCTCCTGACCTCCTGATCCGCTCGCCTCGGCCTCCTAAAATGCTGGGATTACAGGCATGAGCCACTGTGTCCGGCCTGGGGTGTGCTTTTTAAAATTCACTTTGCCAATATCTGTCTTTTAATTGTTTTACTTAATTTATTTACATTTAATATGATTATTGATCTGTCATATCTTAAGTTTGCCATTTTTATTTTTTGTTTTCTGGTTATTCCTTCTAGTTTTCATTTTTATATTTTCTTTTTCTTTCTGCCTTCCAGTCAGTTACATGAACATTCACTATAATTCCATTTGGATGCATCTATAGTGGTTTTGAGTGTCTCTCTTCACATGGCTTTCACAGTGGTTGCTCTGGGTATTACTCTGTGTGTGTGTGTGTGTGTGTATTTTCAGATTCTTCTGGAGTTATCATTTCGCAGTTTGAGAGAGGTATAGAAACGTTTCCTTCCTTTACATCTCTTTATCCTCCTTTATTTTTTGATATTACTGTTTTTAACATTTCCTGTACCTACATTGAGAACCACATCAGACCATGTTCTAATTTTTGCCATAACTGTCAAACATATTTGAGAAAACTCAGGATCAGAAGGAAAGTCTGTTGAATTGACCCATACTTTGCTCTTTCTATTGTTCTTTCTTCCTGATGTTTTAAGATTCCTTCTTTTGTACCTTTTTTTTTAATTTGTAAATTTTCTATTCTATTGGGGTAGATTTACTGGCAACAAATTCTCTTAATTTTCCTTCATCTGAGAATGTCTTGAGTTTCCCTTCACTCTTGTTTTTTTTTTTTTTTTTTTTTTTTGAGACGGAGTCTTGCTCTGTGGCCCAGGCTGGAGGGCAGTGGCACAATCTCGGCTCACTGCAACCTCCGCCTCCCAGTTCGCGCCATTCTCCTGCCTTAGCCTCCTGAGTAGCTGGGACTACAGGCGTCCGCCACCACGTCCGGCTAATTTTTTGTATTTTTAGTAGAGACGGGGTTTCACCGTGTTAGCCAGGATGGTCTCCATCTCCTGACCTCGTGATCTGCCCACCTTGGCCTCCCAAAGTGCTGGGATTACAGGCATGAGCCACCGCACCCGGCCATTTTTCCCTTCACTGTTGAAGGATATTTTCCCTGGATATTGAATTCTGAGTTTAGAGCTGTTTTCTTTTAGTTTTTGGAAAATATTGTGTCATCTTCTTCTGGGCTGCACAGTTTCTGATGAGAAATCTACTGTTATTCAGAAATTTTTACTTCTATTAGAAATATTTCATTACCCTCTTGCTGCCTTCAAAGTTTTTTTCTGTGTTGTTAAGTTTCAGAAGTTTTATGATGTGTTTATTATGTTAATTACTTTGGGTTTATCCTGTTTACGATTTGCTTAGCATCTTCAGTCTAGATTTATATCTCTCCCAGATTTGGGAAATTTTCGGTCTTATTTCTGAAACTAAGCATTTTTGTAGTAAAGATTAATAGAAGTAGAATCTCTGGGTAAAAGGGTTCAAACATTTGAAATCCAACAGATATTTTCAAATAACCCTCCCAAAGTTTATGGCAGTTTTTATTTGCATCGACAGTGAATACAAATGACTGTTTACCCACTCCCCCATCAACAGAAGTTATTATCAATATATTAAACCTTTGCCAGTGTCCTAAACAAAAATAATCTATTGTTGTTTTAATCTGCATTTATTTTTAGTGAAATTGAACATATTTTCATGGTTAGTGGTCATTTGTATTTCTTTTCTAATTGTTCATTTTCTTGCCAATTTTTTGATGGGAAGTTCATCTATTTTATTGATCATAGAGTTCTCGTACATTTTTTCTTATACTTTAAGTTCTAGGATACATGTGCAGATGGTGCAGGCTTGTTACATCGGTATACATGTGCCATGGTGGTTTGCTGCATCCATCAACCCATCATCTACATTAGGTATTTCTCCTAATGCTATTCCTCCCCTAGGCCCCCACCCCCTGACTGGCCCGGGTGTGTGATGTTCCCCTCACTGTGTCCATGTGTTCTCATTTTTCAACTCCCAGTTATGAGTGAGAACATGTGGTGTTTGGTTTGCTGTTCCTGTGTTAGTTTGCCTAGAATGATGGTTTCCAGCTTCATCCATGTCCCTGCAAAGGACATGAACTCATCCTTTTTTATGGCTGTATAGTATTCCATGGTGTATATGTGCCACATTTTCTTTATCCAGTATATCACTGATGGGCATTTGGGTTGGTTCCAAGTCTTTGCTATTGTGAATAGTGCTGCAATAAACATACATGTGCATGTGTCTTTATAGTAGAGTGATTTATAATCCTTTGGGCATATACCCAGTGATGGGATTGCTGAATCAAATGGTATTTCTCATTCTAGGTCCTTGAGGAATTGCCACACTGTCTTCCACAATGGTTGAACTAATTTACACTCCCAAGTGTAAAAGTGTTCCTATTTCACCACATCCTCTGCAGCATCTGTTTCCTGACTTTTTAATGATCGCCATTCCAACTGGCATGAGATGGTATCTCATTGCGGTTTTGATTTGTATTTCTCTGGTGACCAGTGATGATGAGCTTTTTTTCATATGTTGGCCATATAAATGTCTTCTTTTGAGAAGTGTCTGTTCATATCCTTTGCTCATTTTTTGATGGGGTTGTTTGTTTTTTTCTTGTAAATTTGTTTAAATTCTTTGTAGATTCTGGATATTAGCCCTTTGTCAGATGGATAGATTGCAAAAATTTTCTCCCATTCTGTAGGTTGCCTTTTCACTCTTATGGTAGTTTATTTTGCTGTGCAGAAGCTCTTTAGTTTAATTAGATCCAATTTGTCAATTTTGGCTTTTGTTGCCATTGCTTTTGGTGTTTTAGTCATGAAGTCTTTGCCCATGCCTATGTCCTGAATGGTATTGCCTAGGTTTTCTTCGGGGGTTTTTATGGTTTTAGGTCTTACGTTTAAGTCTTTAATCCATCTTCAGTTAATTTTTGTATAAGGCATAAGGAAGGGGTCCAGTTTCAGTTTTCTGCATATGGCTAGCCAGCTTTCCCAACACCATTTATTAAATGGGGAATCCGTTCCCCATTGCTTGTTTTTGTCAAGTTTGTCAAAGATCAGATGGTTGTAGATGTGTGGCATTATTTCTGAGGCCTCTGTTCTGTTTTATTGGTCTATATATCTGTTTTGGTACCAGTACCATGTTGTTTTGGTTACTGTAGCCTTGTAGTATAGTTTGAAGTCAGGTAGCATGATGCCTCCAGCTTTGTTCTTTTTGCTTAGGATTGTCTTGGCTATCCGGGCTCTTTTTTGTTTTCATATGAAATTTAAAGTAGTTTTTTCTAATTCTGTGAAGAAAGTCAATGGTAACTTGATGAGGATAGCATTGAATCTATAAATTACTTTGGGCAGTGTGGCCATTTTTATGATATTGATTCTTCCTATCCATGAGCATGGAATGTTTTTCCGTTTGTTTGTGTCCTCTCTTTTTTCCTTAAGCAGTGGTTTGTAGTTCTCCGTGAAGAGGTCCTTCAAATCCCTTGTAAGTTGTATTCCTAGGAATTTTATTCTCTTTGTAGCAATTGTGAATGGGAGCTCACTCATGATTTGGCTCTCTGTCTCTTATTGGTGGATAGGAATGCTTGTGATTTTTGCACATTGATTTTGTATCCTGAGACTTTGCTGAAGTTGCTTATCAGCTTAAGGAGATTTTGGGCTGAGACGATGGGGTTTTCTAAAGATACAGTCATGTCATCTGCAAACAGAGACAATTTGATTTCCTCTCTTCCTATTTGAATACACTTTATTTCTTTCTCTTGCCTGATTGCCCTGGCCAGAACTTCCAATACTATGCTGAATAGGAGTGGTGAGAGAGGGCATCCTTGTCTTGTGCCGGTTTTCAAAGGGAATGTTTCCAGCTTTTGCCCATTCAGTATGATATTGGCTGTGGGTTTGTCATAAATAGCTCTTATTATTTTGAGATACATTCCATCAGTACTTAGTTTATTGAGAGTTTTTAGCATGAAGATGTGTTGAATTTTATCGAAGACCTTTTCTGCATCTATTGAGATAATCATGTGATTTTTGTCATTGGTTCTGTTTATGTGATGGATTACGTTTATTGATTTGCGTATGTTGACGTGAACCATCCTTGCATCCCAGGGATGAAGCCAACTTGATCGTGGTGGATAAGCTTTTTGATGTGCTGCTGCATTTGGTTTGCCAGTATTTTATTGAGGATTTTTGCATCAATGTTCGTCAGGGATATTGGCCTGAAATTTTCTTTTCTTGTTCTGTCTCTGCCAGGTTTTGTTATCAGGATGATGCTGAACTCATAAGATGAGTTATGGAGGAGTACCTCTTTTTCTATTGTTTGGAATAGTTTCAGAAGGAATGGTACCAGCTCCTGTTTGCACCTCTGGTAGAATGCGGTTGTGAATCCGTCTGGTCCTGGGCTTTTTTTGGTTGGTAGTCTATTAGTTACTGCCTCAATTTCAGGACTTGTTGTTGGTCTATTCAGGGATTCGATTTCTTCCTTGTTTAGTCTTGGGAGGGTGTACGTGTCCAGGAATGTATCCCTTTCTTCTAGATTTTCTAGTTTATTTGCATAGAGGTGTTTATAGTATTCTCTGATGGTAGTTTGTACTTCTGTGGGATCAGTGGTGATATCCCCTTTATTGTTTTTTATTGTGTCTGTTTGGTTCTTCTCTCTTTTCTTCTTTATTAGTCTGGCTAACAGTTTATCTATTTTGTTAATCTTTTCAAAAAACCAGCTCCTGTATTCTTCGATTTTTTGAAGGGTTTTTCATGTGTCTGTCTCCTTCAGTTCTGCTCTGATCTTAGTTATTTCTTGTCTTCTGCTAGCTTTTGAATTTGTTTGCTCTCGCTTCTCTAGTTCTTTTCATTGTGATGTTAGGGTGTTGATTTTAGATCTTTCCTGCTTTCTCCTGTGGGCATTTAGTGCTATAAATTTCCCTCTAAACACTGCTTTAGCTGTGTCCCAGAGATTCTGGTATGTTGTGTCTTTGTTCTCATTGGTTTCAAAGAACTTACTTATTTCTGCCTTAATTTTGTTATTTACCCAGTAGTCATTCAGGAGCAGGGTGTTCAGTTTCCATGTACTTGTGTGGTTTTGAGTGAGTTTCTTAATCTTGAGTACTAATTTGATTGCACTGTGGTCTGACGGACTGTTATGATTTCCGTTCTTTTGCATTTGCTGAGGAGTGTTTTACTTCCAATTATGTGGTCAATTTTAGAATAAGTGCAATGTGGTGCTGAGAAGAATGTATATTCTGTTGATTTGGGGTAGAGAGTTCTGTAGATGTCTATTAGGTCCACTTGGTCCAGAGCTGAGTTCAAGTCCTGAATATCCTTGTTAATTTTCTCTCTCGTTGATTTGCCTAATATTGACAGTGGGGTGTTAAAGTCTCCCACTATTATTGTGTGGGAGTCTAAGTCTCTGTAGGTTTCTAAGAACTTGCTTTATGAATCTGGGTGCTCCTGTATTAGATGCTTATATATTTAGGATAGTTAGCTCTGGTTGTTGCACTGATCCCTTTACCATTATGTAATGCCCTTCTTTGTTTTTTTTTGATCTTTGTTGGTTTAAAGTCTGTTTTAGAGACTAGGTTTGCAACCCCTGCTTTTTTTGCTTTTAATTTGCTTGGTAAATATTCCTCCATCCCTTTATTTTGAGCCTATGTGTGTCTCTGCACATGTGATGGGTTTCCTGAATACAGCACACCGATGGGTCTTGACTCTTTATCCACTTTGCCAATCTGTGTCTTTTAATTGGGGCATTTAGCCCGTTTACATTTAAGGTTAATATTTTTATGTGTGAATTTGATCCTGTCATTATGATCCTAGCTGGTTATTTTGCCTGCTAGTTGATGTGGTTTCTTCATAGTGTTGATGTTCTTTACAATTTGGTATATTTTTGCAGTGGCTGGTACTGGTTTTTTCTTTCCATATTTAGTGCTTCCTTCAGGAGCTCTTGTAAGGCAGGCCTGGTGGTGACAAAAATCTCTCAGCATTTGCTTGTCTGTAAAGGATTTTATTTCTCCTTTGCTTATGAAGCTTAGTTTGGCTGGATATGAAATTCTGGGTTGAAAATTATTTTCTTCAAGAATGTTGAATATTGGCCCTCACTCTCTTCTGGCCTATAGGGTTTCTGCAGAGAGATCCGCTGTTAGTCTGATGGGCTTCTCTTTGTGGGTAACCCGACCTTTCTCTGGCTGCCCTTAACATTTTTTCCTTCATTTCAACCTTGGCAAATCTGATGATTATGTGTCTTGGGGTTGCTCTTCTCAAGGAGTATCTTTGTGGTGTTCTCTGTATTTCCTGCATTTTAATGTTGGCCTGTCTTGCTAGGTTGGGGAAGTTCTCTTGAATAATATCCTGAAGAGTGTTTTCCATCTTGGTTCCATTCTCCCTGTCACTTTCAGGTACACGAATCAAACGTAGGTTTCATCTTTTCACATAGTCCCATATTTCTTAGAGGCTTTGTTCGTTCCTTTTCTTTTTTTTCTAATCTTGTCTTCACACTTTATTTCATTAAGTTGATCTTCAATCTCTGATATCCTTTATTCCGCTTGATTGATTTGGCTACTGATACTTGTGCATGCTTCACGAAGTTCTCATGCTGTGTTTTTCAGCTCCATCAGGTCATTTATGTTCTTCTCTAAACTGGTTATTCTAGTTAGCAGTTCCTGTAACTTTTTATCAAGGTTCTTAGCTTCCTTGCATTGGGTTAGAACATGCTCCTTTAGCTCGGAGGAGTTTGTTATTACCCACCTTCTGAAGCCTACTTCTGTCAAATCATCAAACTCATTCTCTGTCCAGTTTGTTCCCTTGCTGGCGAGGAGCTGTGATCCTTTGGAGGAGAAGAGGCATTCTGGTTTTTGGAATTTTCAGCCTTTTTGCACTGGTTTTTCCTCATCTTCGTGGATTTATCTACCTTTGGTTTTTGATGTTGGTGACCTTCGGATGGGGTTTCTGTGTGGACATCCTTTTTGTTGATGTTGACACTATTCCTTTCTGTTTGTTAGTTTTCCTTCTAACAGTCAGGCCCTTCTGCTGCAGGTCTGCTGGAGTTTGCTGGAGTTCCACTCCAGACCCTGTTTGCTTGGATATCACCAGCAGAGGCTGCAGAAAAGCAAAGATTGCTGCCTGTTTCTTCCTCTGAAAGCTTCGTCCCAGAGGGGCACCGACCAGATGCCAGCCAGAGCTCTCCTGTATGAGGTGTCTGTCAACCCCTGCTGGGAGGTGTCTCCCAGTCAGGGGGGAAGGGGGTCAGGGACCCATTTGAGGAGGCAGTTTGTCCCTTATCAGAGCTCGAGCACTGTGCTGGGAGATCTTCTGCTCACTTCAGAGCCAGCAGGCAGGAACGTTTAAGTCTGCTGAAGCTGTGCCCACAGCTGCCATTTCCCTCAGGTGCTCTGTCCCAGGGAGATGGGAGTTTTATCTATAAGCCCATGACTGGGGCTGCTGCCTTTCTTTCAGAGATGCCCTGTCCAGAGAGGAGGAATCTAGAGAGCTTGTTCTACATTTTGGAAAGTATTCTTTTGTCATTGGTATTGTCTTTTTTTTCATTTGCCAGTTTGTTGTTAGGTTTTTTTTAACCTTGCTTTGCTGTTTGTTGTGCCAAATATAAATTTTAAAATTTTTAGCTACTAACAATTTATCATCTTGTTTTGAAAGTTTTTTTTCCTTCTGCAAAATTATAAAAATATTCTTTTATAGTTTGTCTGGTATTTTCATGGTTCCATTTTAAATTCAAATCTTGGATCCACCTGTAATATACTTTCATGTAAAAGTAAGGTAGATTATAATAGATCTTTTCTATTACACTTTAATACAGAGGTATAGGGAGGAGAAAGGAGAGTTTATGAGAATGTTGTATACCTGGGACGAGTGAAATATTGACAAATTGTGGAGTCAAAGGGCTGTCTTCTCTTTCCTCAGTGTCCTCTCTGGATGGTACCCAAAGAAAAGTTTAAGTCAACTGGAGGTATGCCAGCTAAGGGAAAAATACGTTTAAACATTTTTGGAAAAATCACAACTTTTACTCAATAAGTTTTTGTTGTTGTTGATGTGAAAAGCTAGGAAAAAATAGGAGAAATGAAACTGCTTCTTTTGTGATTTTTGTGTTGCTGTTGTTTTGGTGGATAGACCTTTTCCTCTCATGACTAAAGACTTACGGTGACTTGTGTTATTGCTACATTTCCTTTATGTGCATCCCAGTGGGATACTTGTCTACAATGATGACCTTTACAAGAAGATGCTCATTTACTTAGTGAACAAATATTTTTCAGTTATCTATCAAGGAGGCAGATATGGAGTGGTGGTTATGTTTGTCCTCTGGAATCAGACTACTTGTGTTTAAATTCCAGTCTGATCACTTATTAGCTGTGTGATCTTGGGAAAGTTATTAAACTTTTCCATGTCTCAGGATCCTCATCTGCAAATGGGGATATTAATACCTTACAGGATTTTTGTGAATGTTAGAACAGTTTCAAACATATAGTAAATAATTTATAAACATGAGCTTTTGTTAATGCTTATCACTGGAGATAGAGCACAACATGTATGGTCCTACGTTTTATGAACCTTGCATTCTTGAGAAATTAAAAATTACAAATTGCAGTATTACTCCTTAAAAAGTTAAGGGACTGAGTATAATGGAGTGGGAGAAGAATCCTCCTTTAAATAACATGGGCAGGGAAGGCCTCTCTGAAGAGGGGACGTTTAAGCTGAGACTTGATCCTTGAGAAAAAACTTGCAATTTCAAAAATAGAGGGAAGAATGTTCCAGGCTGCGGGAACATCTTGTACAAAAATACCAGGTACAGAGAGTTTGGTAAATTCAAATATTTGAAAGAAGACTATTATGGTTGGAGAGCAGGGAATGCAAAATGCAGTTTATGAAGTGAGGTTCATGACGTAGGCAGGACCTTGTAGACCAGGGTAGGTAGTTAGGATTTTTATTTTAAATTCTGTGGGAAATTACTGAAGAAGGGAGGGACACGATACCATTTTTCCTTCTTAAAAAGATTGCTCTTGTTGTTGTGTTGTATTTGTATCAGAGAAAGGTAAATTTTGGAAACGGGAAAAAAGCTTTGAGGCTCTTGACAGTGAGCCAAATAAGAGCCTAGGTGGCAGCGGAGATGGAGATACATTGACAAATACAGATATATTTTGAGGTCAAATAAACAAAGGTGATGGAAAAAAGTTAGAATCATAGACGATACCCAGCTTTCTGGCTTCAATAAAAGGTTTGATGTGGTATCAATTTCTGAAAGGGGGGATACTGAGAAAACGATCAGGTTTGGGGAGGGGCTTGACAATTCAAAGTTCTATTGTGAACATGCTGAATTTGAGGTGTCTATTAGACATCCAAGTGGAGATGTGGAGTAGTAATTTGGATTCATGAAACTGGAGTTTAGGGCCAGCTTTTAGATGATATTTAAAGTCATATATCTGGATGAGATAACCTAGGGAGATTAAAAAGACAAGAGGACCTGGGATCATATATATAGAATGTATATATAAATATATATAGAATATATACAAAAATATATATATAGAATATATATACAAATATATATAGAATATATACGAATATATATAGAATATATATGAATATATATAGAATATGTATAAATATATATATATTCGATATATATAAATATATATTCTATATATATGAATATATATCGAATATACATATATAGATATATAAATATATATAGAATATATATATTTATATATATAGAATATATATATTTATATATATAGAATATATATATTTATATATATAGAATATATATATTTATATATATAGAATATATATATAGAAATATATAAACATATATATAGAAATATATATATAGAATATATATAAAAATATGTATAGAATATATATAAAAATATATATATAGAATATATATAAAAATATATATAGAATATATATGTAGAATATATAAAAATATATATAGAATATATATAAATATATATAGAATATATATAAATATATATAGAATATATAAAAATATATATATAGAATATATAGATATATATATAGAATATATGAATATATATATAGAATATATATATAAATATATATAGAATACATACAAATATATATATAGAATATATCTATAAATATATATATAGAATATATCTATAAATATATATATAGAATATATCTATAAATATATATAGAACATATCTATAAATATATATAGAATATACATATGAATATGTACACAGAATATACATATGAATATGTACATAGAATATACATATGAATATGTACATAGAATATATATATGAATATGTACATAGAATATATATATAGAGTATATATAAATATATACATGAATATATATAGTATATATATAGAATATATATAGAATATATAGAATATATATAGAATATATAGTATATATATAGAATATATAGTATATATATAGAATATATATAGTATATATATAGAATATATATAGTATATATATAGAATATATATAGTATATATATAGAATATATAAATATATAGAAAATATATAAAATATATATACAAATATATAGAATATATACAAATATATAGAATATATATACAAATATAAAGAATATATATAAATATATAGAATATACATACAAATATATAGAATATATACAAAAATATATAGAATATATATACAATATATGTAGAATATATATATAGAATATAAGTATAAATATATATAGAGAATATATATAAATATATACAGAATATATATATAAATATATATATACAGAATATATATATAAATATATATACAGAATATATATAAATACATGTACAGAATATATATAAATATACATACAGAATATATATAAATATACACACAGAATATATATATAAATATACTCACAGAATATATATAAATATATACATAGATATATATAAAAATATATACAGAGAATATTTATAAATATATACAGAGAATATATACAAATATATATAGAGAATATATATCTAAATATATATAGACAGAATATATATATATAGAATATATGTATAAATATATATGGAGAGAATATATATAAATATATAGAGAGAGATATAAATACAAATATATGGAGAGATAACATACAAATATATATACAGAGAATATATATATAAATATATATAGAGAGAATACATATATATAGAGAGAATATATATAAAAATATATATAGAGAGAATATATATATAAATATATATAGAGAGAATATATATATAAATATATAGAGAGATAATATATATAAATATGTATAGAGAGAATATATATAAATATATATAGAGAATATATATAAATATATATAGAGAATAAATATAAATATATAGAGAATATATAAATATATATAGAGAATATATAAATATATATGGAGAATATATAAATATATAGAGAGAAAATATATAAATATATAGAGAGAATATATATAAATGTATAGACAGAATATATATAAATATATAGAGAGAATATATATATAAATATATAGAGAGAATATATATAAATATATATAGAGAATATATATAAATATATAGAGAGAATATATATAGAGAGAATATATATATAAATATATGGAGAGAATATATATATAAATATTTAGAGAATATATATAATATATAGAGAATATATAAATAATATATGAATATATACATAATATATATATAAATATCTACATAGAATGCATATATAAATACATATACATAGAATACATATATAAATACTTATACATAGAATACATATAAATACATACATAGAATATATATAAATACATAGAATATATATAAATACATATGTAGAATATATATAAATACATATATAGAGAATATATATGAATACATATATAGAGAATATATATACATACATATATAGAAGATATATATACATAATATATAGAGGATATATCTACATAAATATATATAGAGGATATATCTATGTAGAATATATATAGAGGATATAGCTATATAGAATATATATAGAGGATATATCTATATAGAATATGTATAGAGGATATATCTACATAGAATATGTATAGAGGTTATATCTATATAGAATATATATAGAAGATATATATAGAATACAGATAATATATAGAATATATATAGAATATAGATAATATATATAGAATATATAGAATATATATAGAATATACATATAGAATATATATAGAATATATAGAATATATATAGAATATATATAGAATATATACATAGAATATATATAGAATATATATAAAGAATATATATAGAATATAGAAACATATAGAATATATAGAAATATATATATAGAATACATATATAGAATATATATATAGAATAGATATATAGAATATATATATAGAATATATATAGAATACATATATAGAATATATATCTAGAATATATATGTAGAATATATATGTAGAATATATATATAGAATATATATATAGAATATATATAAATACATATAAATATATGTAGAATATATATATAAATATACACAGAATATATATATAAATATATGTAGAATATATATAAATATATATATAGAATATATAAAAATATATTTATATGGAATATACATATATAAATATATATAGAATATATAAATATATACATAGAATATATATATAATATATACATAGCATATATATAAAAATATATACATAGTATATATAAATATATACATACAATATCTATAAATATATATCTATATATAAATATATATGTAAGTATATATAAATATATATAAGTATATATGAATATATAAATGAATATATATAGAATATACAAAAATATATATATAGAATATATATAAATTTATATGTAGAATATATATAAATATACATATGTAGAATATATATATGTAGAATATATATAAATATATAAAAATATATATAAAAATACATATAGAATATATATAAAATATATATATGGAATATATATACAGAATATATTCATAAATATATATAGGGAATCTATACATAAATATATGTAGAGAGAATATATACATAAAAATATATATACAATATATACATAAATATTTATATAGAATATATACGTAAATATATATAGAATATATACATAAATATATATACAGAGAATATATACATAAATATATAGAGAGAATATATACATAAATATATAGAGAGAATATATACGTAAATATACATAGAGAGAATATATACATAAATATATATAGAGAGAATATATAAGTAAATATATACAGAGAGAATATATATGTAAATATATATAGAGAGAATATATACGTAAATATATATGGAGAGAATATATACATAAATGTACAGAGAGAGAATATATACGTAAATATATACATAGAGAATATATATGTAACCATATATAGAGAGAATATATACGTATATATAGAGAGAATATATACGTAAATATATAGAGAATATATACGTAAATATAGAGAGAATATATACGTAAATATATATAGAGAGAATATATACGTAAATATATAGAGAGAATATATACGTAAATATATATATAGAGAATATATATGTAAATATATAGAGACAATATATACGTAAATATATACCGAGAATATATACACATATATAGATTATATACACATATATAGATATATACACTAATGCATATAGAATATATACACAAATGCATATAGAATATATACACAAATGCATATAGAATATATACACAAATGTATATAGAATATATACACAAATGTATATAGAATATATAAATATATATATAGAATATATATAAATATATATGGAATATATATAGAATATATATAAATATATATAGACTATATAAATATATATAGAATATATAAATATATATATAGAATATATATAGAATATATAGAATATATATAGAATATATAGAATACATATAAATATATAGAATATATATAAATATATAGAATATATATAAATATATATATAGAATATATATAGAATATATATAGAATACATATATAAATATATATGTAGAATAGATATATTTATATATAGAATATACATATAATATATATAGAATATACATATAAATATATATAGAATATACATATAAATATATATAGAATATACATATAAATATATATGTAGAATATACATATAAATATATATATAGAATATACATATAAATATATATATAGAATATACATATAAATATATATATTATATATATAGAATACATAAATATATATAAAATATAAATATAGAATATACATATAAATATATATATCAGATATATAGAATACATAAATATATATAAAATATATATATAGAATATGTATAGACATATATAGAATATATAGATATATATAGAATATATATAGATATATATAGAATATATAGAAATATATATTATATATAGAATATACATATAAATATATATGGAATATATATAGAAAATATATATAGAATATATATAAATATATATAAAGAATATATATAGAAAATATCTAAATATATATATAGAATATATATAGAATATATATATAGAATATGTAAATATATATATAGAATATATAAATATATATAGAATATATTTAAATATATATAGAATATATATAAATGTATATAATATATATATAAATATATATCTAGAATATATATAAGTATATATCTAGAATATATATAAGTATATATCTAGAATATATATAAATATATATCTAGAATATATATATAAATATATATCTAGAATATATATAAATATATATCTAGAATATATATAAATATATATCTAGAATATATATATAAATATATATCTAGAATATATATGTAAATATATATCTAGAATATATGTAAATATATATCTAGAATTTATATGTAAATATATATCTAGAATGTATATGTAAATATATATCTAGAATGTATATCTAGAATATATATATCAAGAATATATATATCTAGAATATATATAAATATATATGTAGAATTTATATATAAATATATATCTAGGATATATATATAAATATATATCTAGGATATATGTATAAATATATATCTAGGACATATGCATAAATATATATCTAGGATATATATCTAGAATATATATATTCTGTATAGAATTCTATATATATTCTATATAGAATATATATATAGAAAATATATATAAATACAGAATATATAGATATTCTATATATCGATATCTATATAGAATATATATCTATATATAGAATATCTATATATAGATATATATGTAGAATATATCTATATATAGATATATATGTAGAATATATCTATATATAGATATATATGTAGAATATATCTATATATAGATATATATGTAGAATATATCTATATATAGAATATATATAGAATATCTATATTAGAATATATATAGAATATCTATATTAGAATATATATAGAATATCTGTATATGAATATATATAGTATATCTATATATAGAACATCTATATATAAAATATATATATAGAACATCTATACATAGAACATCTATATATAGGACATCTATATATAGAACATCTATATATACGGCATCTATATATAGAACGTCTATATATAGAACATCTATATATAGAACGTCTATATATAGAACATCTGTATATAGAACGTCTATATATAGATCATCTGTATATAGAACGTCTATATATAGATCATCTGTATATAGAACGTCTATATATAGAACATCTGTATATAGAACGTCTATATATAGAACATCTGTATATAGAACGTCTATATATAGAACATCTATATATAGAACGTCTATGTATAGAATATCTATATATAGATTATCTATATAGAATATATAGAATATCTGTATATAATGCCTATATAGAATATATAGAATACCTATATATAGAATATCTGTATAGAATATATGAATATCTATATATATAGAAGATCTACATAGAATATATAGAATATCTATATATATAGAATATCTATAGAGAATATATAGAATATCTATATATATAGAATATATATAGAATACATAGAATATCTATATATAGAATATCTATATAAAATGTATAGAATATCTATATATAGAATATCTATATAGAATATATATATAAATATCTATATAGAATATGTATATATAAAATGTATAAAGAATATATATATAAATATGTATATATAGAATATATATAGAGAATATATATACAGAATATATATAGAATATATATACAGAATATATATAGAATATATAGAATGTATATAGAATATATAGATATATATAGAATATATGTAAATATGTAGTATATATAAATACATATAGAATATATATATTTATATATAGAATATATTTATAGAATATAGATATTGAATATATATAGAATATATTTATAGAACATATATAAATATATATTAATATATATTCCATATATAAATATATAGAATATATTATATTCATATATAAATATATAGAATATATATATTCTATATATATATGAATATAATATATTCTCTATATATAAATATATAGAGTATATATATTCATATATAAATATATATGAATATATATACTATATATAAATATATAGAGAATATATACATATTCATATATAAATATATATGAATATTTATATTTAATATATATTTAAATATATATGAATATATATATGAATATAGGATATTTATATGAATATATAAATATATGAAATATTTTGTATATTCATATAGAAATATATAAATATATAAATATATATAAATATATATATAAATATATAAATATATATAAATATATAAATATATGAAATATTCATATATAAATATATATGAATGTATTTATTCATATAAAGATATATGAATATATATTCATATATATAAATATATGAATATATATTTTCTATATATAAATATATATTCATATGTAAATGTATATGCATATGTACATTCATCTATGTAAATATATGAATATGTACATTCATCTATGTAAATATATGAATATGTACATTCATCTATGCAAACATATATGTGAATATGTATATTCATATATGTAAATATATATGATTATGTATATTCATATATGTAAATATATATGAATATGTATATTCATATATGTAAATATATACTATATATAGAATATATATGGTATTTATATAAATACATATACTTTATAAATATAAAATATATATACTATATATAAAATATATATAGTATATATAAATATATAGTGTATATATATAAAAATATATATAGAATAAATATGTATTTATAATATATATAGAATATATGAGTATATATATAATATATGTAGAATATATGAATATATACATAGAATATATAAATATATAGAATATATATAAATATATAGACAGAATATATATAAATATATATGGAATATATAAATATATATATGGAATACATATAAATATATATATAGAATATATAAATATATATAGAATATATGTAAAAATATATATAGAATATATATAAATATATATAGAATATATATATAAATATATATAGAACATATAAATATATTTTTAGAATATATATAAATATATGTATAGAATATAGATATAAATATCTATATAGAATATAGATATAAATATATGTATAGAATATAGATATAAATATATATATAGAATATAGATTTAAATATACCTATATTCTAGTTCCTGGCACAAATCAGGTGATTAATAAATGTTTGTTAAACAAACTAATGTATGAATGAAATGAATGAGATATTGAGCTATTAGCAAAGTACAATTTTGTCATCTGTAAAATGGCAATAATACAAGGATCTTGTTTTAGGACAGGATTTAAAGCAATAAAAAATTTTATAGTAGGTAGCACGTTTTGAATTAACTTAACTACTATTAGCTCTCTGCACTTTGGGTCCTCATTCACAAAATAGGGGCAGTAACTTCTGCCTTGCTTCCTTCACAAGGCTATTTGTGAAGCCTGCAGGAATTAGTGCTTGACTCTATAAGTGGTTATTAATATTAATGTTTTAATAGGCCCGTACCTGCATCATACAGCTGCTCTGCTCTTCCCATCCTCTGGCAAGGTTATTTAAATGAAAACGCGTCTTTTATTTTATTTTTTTGAGACAGGGTCTCAGTCTGTCACCCAGGCTGGAGAGCAGTGGCACAATCATTGCTCACTGCAACTTCTGCCTCCCGGGCTCAAGTGATCCTACCACCTCAGCCTTCCAAGTGGCTGGGACTATAGGTACGCGCCACTACGCTCCGACTGATTTTTGTATCTTTTGTAGAGATGGGGTTTTTCCATGTTGCCCAGGCTCATCTCCAACTCCTGTCCTCAAGCGATCCGCCCCAACTCGCTCTCCCAAAGAGCTGGGAGTACGGGAGTAGGCCACCGCGCCTGGCCAAAAACTCGTCTTTAAAGAGACCCGATACTCCCTGCGTGTCAGCCCAGCCTGGTCCAACCAATTATACCAGAAACAACACCCTACTGCGAGGTCCTTCAGAGGCAGAGTTGGATTTTAAAATACCCAGCTCCACCCCTTCCTGTTAGGCTTTCGCGTGTCGCAGCTGTGCACGCTGATTGGTCCTCTGCTGGCCAATCACCACTGCACTTCATGACGGCTGTAGTTTTCAAAATCCCAACTGGGCTGGTGGAGGGTCGCAGGTGTCAGGTTGAGACGGACTCGAGTCGCTATAGTAAGGAGCTCCGTTCATTTCCTTGGCCTCTCCTGGTCTAGGGGTGCGTCGATGGTCTTTGCTGTCTGTCCTCGATCTCGGTGTGAGGTAGGCGCCTTTGGGCAAGTACTGCTGGCTCCAGCGTCCGGCTCTGTCGCCTGCCAGTGGGTCCTTGGGCGTCACTCCAGCCCCTTGCTGAATTCTGTTGCTGGGATGCGCGGCGTTCCTGTAAGGAAACTTTTCAATCTCCTGTCGATCAGCAGCCTGTGGAGTGAGCTCTGTACAAGATTGGGCAGGGGGAGTGTTTGTTAAGGAGTGAGATGGCAAAGCAAATGAGACTGGGTCCCAGCTTTTAGATGGAGCAATTAGTACACGTGCCTGAATCAGAGTACTTTTACAAAACGTCTTTTCACAAGTGAAAGTGTGCAGGATTAATTTCATCTACAAGTGCAGAGGGATCAGACATATTTAAGTCATAGAATGCTACTTGCAGCATGTCTTTTGAGCTACAGGTTGAAGGATATGAAGGGAGGATGGACACGTGTCCTCACTCTATTGTTAACCCTTTATCTTCACTGGCTCTTTTCTGTTCCCACCGGCAACCACCTTCAGCTTTGGCTTTCTCACCACCCTCTGCTACGCTTAGAATCGTAGAAGATCAGGTAGAAGGGACCCTAGAACAGCGGCGCTTAAATCTTAACGTGCATAAAAATCACCTGGGGATATTGTTAATTTGCAGATTTTGATTTGATAGGTCTAGTTTGGGGCCTGAGGTTTTAAATTGCTAACAAATTTCCAGGTGATGCTAATGTTGCTTGTCCATTGACCACATTGAATAGCGAGGAGGCTCTAGTTCCACTGCTTCGTTTTATTGGGTGGGAAAACTGGGTCCCAGAGAGGGAAAGGGACTTGCCCAGTGTCACCCAGCCAACTAAGAGCAGAGCCAGAACTAGACCTTAGGCATCCTTCCCAGCCCAGTGCTGTTTTATTGACACAATGCTGTGTTCTCTCCCCAGAGCCTTGCTGTCTGTAACCTGCCTTTATATAAAAAATGAAGTTGCTACTACTTCCTGTAGACTGTTTTGATCAGCTTAGCCCTGCTGCCCCTTTGTTTGTTTCAGCACCAGCCCTGGGAGGTCCAGTGGAGTCTGCAACACTTACCAGTGTGTATGTAGGGGACATGGAAAGTCTGAAAAGGGGAAAGGATTCTAATTTTCTTGCCCAAGGCTCAGGGTTCTGTAGGTGGCAGAAGTTGAGAGTGTTCCGCAGAGAGTGTCCTTTTATGAAAGGATCTTTTTGATAGTGTCAATCCCCTCTCCTCCCCTTCTCCCTGGGAAAATTAGTTTACCTAAGTCAGTGCATCTGTCCCTCAATGCAAATGATTAGTGTTCACGATAATAAATGGGGTATATGACCATCATTTAAATAACCTTATTTTCTCTGAGATTTAGTTAACCTGTATGTTATCAGCTGAGAGTTTTCTAGCCTGTGGGCTCCGTATTTCTTTTTCCTTTTAAAAGGTAAATGTTTCAGAGTGTGAGTCTTTGGTCATCCATAAAAAAAAAAATTATGAGGCGTAAATAATAATAGTGGAGTAAGTGATTTTCATACAGTGCAGTTAACAGTGGGTGCACCCAATTTAGCTTTATTGCTGCTTGGCTGAGGTTTGAGGAATGAGATGGAATATAGGTTTGGATTTGATAGAAGAAGAGGGGAGTAAGACAGTATTTATTAAATGCCTGCCATGCATCAGGTTTTGTACATGTAAATTTGCATCTGAGCCACACAAGTCCTCTGCAAGTAAGTGGTGTTATAGCTGTTTTGAAAATGAGGAAACTGAGGCTCAGAAATGCTAAGTTGGCTGGCTTAGAAGTCCAGTTATTCAAACTCCAAGACCTGTGCTCATTCTACCTCCTCATACTATGGCCTTTCACTGTTTTGGAATATTTTTGAGTGTGATCGAAGAGACTTCATGGTATTTTAGAAACTGCCTGGGAAAAAGCTGGGCAGTCTATGCCCCTTAATAGTTTGTCCTGGGTAGTAAGTTACTTAACTCATCTGAGACTGTAAAATAGAATTGTACCTGCCTTGCTTAGCCTTATGGTTTTGTTGTGAGAATCAACTGAGGTAACATGTGAATGCATATACTTATACTGGCTTTTCCTGACCTACAAAATGTTTCATCCTTCTCCATCCAAAGCGAAACCCAAATCAGGCTTTCTCCTTTCTTAAACTTTCCCCTCAAGCTGCAGACTTTTCTGTTTCCTTTTCTTACCAGCCTGGCCCCAGCCTAGCTTTTCAGCCTCATTTTAACCCCTCCCCAACATGTTATTTATGCTCCCTACTCCAGACAACTAGGACATCCCTGAATTCTGTATGTTCATGCCTCTGCCTGGGCTCGGCTTTCTTTGCCTGGAAACCTCCCAGTCAACTTGGGAACCTGTTTGTCATTTTAAGTCCTGATCACATGTTACTTCCTTTGTGAAGCCTTCCTCCAGCCCCTGTCCCCAACAAGATTACTGGCTTTCCATTATGTTTCTTTTTTCTTTTCTTTTTTTTTTTTAGTTTGGCATGACAGACACATATAAATTTTATTATGATTTAATCATTATTTCTATCCTTTTCCTTGAACAAAGTCTATAAAAGAATTTTAGTTGTATTTTTCCAGGTAGTTGGATTTTTTAAAAAACATTTTGCCTCTATCAAAATACTTCAGGAATACATTTTTAGCAGTCATATTAAGCATCACAGACACATTATCAACCTTTACTTAGATTTAGCCATATATTTTATTGGTTTCTTTGCTCAACTGCTTACTTTTCAACTGTTTTCTCATTTTTCTGTTTCTCCTCCATCTTCCTTTCTCTTCCCCCTACTCCTTCACCATCTTCGTCCTTAGGTAATTTTAGTTTGCCCTCACATCTGCATAATTGGTAAAGTATAGAATTCTAGGTGAAAAATCTTTTTCCCTAGAAACTATGTAAACGGTGTTTCACTGCCTTCTGTCATTTGGTGTGAAGTTACTAATCATTATGTTTCTATAGCACTTAGTTTGCGCTGCTATAAAGTGCCATGGACTGGGTGGCATTTAGTTCTCACAGTTCTGGAGGCTGGGAAATCCAAGATCAAGTTCTTATGTCAAATGATTTTTTAATAAGTTAGTTTATTTTGCTATAATCTCATCTTTTGAATTTTTTGTTCCTTCCAGGTGTCTGGAACTGGATTACAGTTTCTTCTGATTGAACGCAGCCTTTGAATACTGCCTGGCCTATCGCGAATACATGTGTGTGCAGTTATTGTTTTCTCTGTAGGGTCATAATTGCTTTGCCAGGACCCCATGCCTTTTAAGAACATTGGCTCTACCAGCTTGCCTCCATACTATATGAGCTGTCATGTTCTTCCTTGTTTTCAATGCAAAACTCCTATGTAATTTGTCCCCAGTGTTGCTAGGCCTAAACTAGGGGCTAGACAACATCCCAGCGTTCACAGAGGATGGTAGGCACTGTGCTTGGCTTTTTACATAAAGTGTCTCATTTAATTTGAACAACACCCTGCAGAGGTAGGTATACTTATCTCCATTTTACAGATGAGGTAACTGAAGCCCAGAGATTTTAAGTCAGTCACTTGCCTGAGGTTAATTGTGATAAAACCAAGATTTGAATCCAGATCTTCCCAACATCAAAATCTGTTTTCTCCTAGGGATGCTATAGATAGACTGGGTTTTCTCAAGAATTTTCAGAGAATTTATCGTGTTTCTGGTGAATGGTGTTAAAGAGCCTCTTTCTGATTACAGCCCTGCCTTGGACAAGACGCAGCTGAATCTCTAAGTGATGCTACTGCCACTACCACCCCAGAGCTCCAAACCTGTGCCTAAGAAATCTCAGTCCAGCAAAATTGTGCCCAGTCATCATGACCCATCTGAAAAGGTTAGAGCAAGCTGTCTTTCCCAACAATATCTTTGGTAGTCTCTTCCTGTGTTGGCTCAGTACCTATCCTCACCTGTGAGTCTTTTGAAATATGTCTGGTTTAACCTGAGAAAGTGGGGAGGGGTGGCAGCCCTTGTATTGGAGAATGCCAGCAAATTAGAACTTGGGGAGAAAGTATGGACTCTTCATTCCCATAAATGCAGGGCTCAAATGAAGGCCACCCTCCATAACCCTCAAAACTGAACAACACTCAGTCCTCATTAATGATCATGTCTATATTCTTACTTTCTCTGAGAAGCTCCAAGCACCTTGCTGAAAGACTGGTACATTCTGGGGAGAGTATGAAGATTATATCAGCACATATATTATTATGCTTTTTATAGCTATTAAATTTGAAGAATGGGTATATTTTGACTCTGCTGTTTTGACTTTATTGATAGTTTGATGTTCTAACCTTAGGATATTCTGTGTTCATCATCATACATATTTTAATCAGAATTATACTAGCACTGATGAATTGGCATCAAGAGAGTATTTCCTGGAGCAAAACATCATTAGGTGAATTTAATTTCCTTGATTGGTTTTCTCTGAGCACAGATAAACATTTTCTAATCTTGCTTATTTTACTAAAATGATTTTCAGC
This sequence comes from Homo sapiens, assembly GCF_000001405.40. NCBI lineage: Eukaryota > Metazoa > Chordata > Mammalia > Primates > Hominidae > Homo > Homo sapiens. The sequence goes on from NW_021160028.1 coordinate 25,842, forward strand.
GAGGTGCCAAATTTTTTCCTATGTAAATTTTTCGAGAAAGATTTGATATATTGATCAGATTTTTGTCAACATCAAATTTTCGGATTAGTGTTCTGCCATTGTAACTTTTCTTTAGTGGCAATTATTTTTCCAAAACCAACTTTCTTGGAGTACATTTTGCAAATCTAAGTTTTATTGAGTTCAGTTTCAGCTATAATTTTATTTGGGGTCAATTATTTCTATCAGTAATATTAAATAGGAATTGGATAACAGTTTATTTCTTAGCTAATTTCTGAGAAAATAATGTTTCATTTTTGGCTAATTTCTAGTGGGATTATTTATCATCAGCTAGATGAAAGACTAATAGCTTACTTATGTCTTGGCTTAATCAATTAGAAAATGGAAGTAATTCTTCTCAGCTTGTTCTGTTTTGTTTTGAGATGGAGTCTTGCTCAGTCACCCAGGCTGGAGTGCAGTGGCACGATCTCGGCTCACTGCAACCTCCACCTTCCGGGTTTAAGCAATTCCCTGCCTTAGCATCCTGAGTAGCTAGGATTACAGGCGCCTGCCACCATGCCCGGCTAATTTTTGTATTTTTAGTAGAGACGGGGTTTCACCATCTTGGCCAGGCTGGTCTTGAACTCCTGACCTCGTGATCCACCCGCCTCGGCCTCCCAAAGTGCTGGGATTGGGATTACAGGCCTGAGCCACAGTGCCTGGCCCTCAGTTCGGTTTTTTTTTTTTTTTTTTGGTTGTTGTTGTTGTTGTTTGTTTGTTTGTTTTTTTTGAGACGTAGTCTTGCTCTGTCACCAGGCTGGAGTGCAGTGACACGATCTCGGCTCACTGCAACCTCTGCCTCCCAGGTTCAAGCAATTCTCCTGCCTCAGCCTTCTGAGTAGCTGGGACTACAGGCATGCGCCACCGCGCCCAGCTAATTTTTGTATTTTTGATAGAGACGGGGTTTCCCCGTGTTGGCCCGAACGGTCTCAATCACTTGACCTCATGATCCATCCGCCTCAGCCTCCCAAAGTGCTGGGATTACAGGCGTGAGCCGCCGCGTCGGGCTCCAGCTCTTTTAAGATTGCTCTCTCTGCTGGATTGGTTTATTGTGTCATGAATCCAATTCTGGTAACTTACTGTGCCATGTATTAAGTGTTAATGGTACAGCTGGAGAACAGAGCAAATGGTCTGATCCCAGTGTCCTGCTTCACATTATAACAGCTCTCTGACACAGGTAGGGCGGGTTTGTTTTCAGAATTTCATAAGGGCAGTCTGAGACTTAGGAGATTTTTACCACATAAAGTTGTTAGAGGGTAGAAGACTCCTATAGTGTGGTTTGCCCTAACCTCTAACCCTATAGAGATGGTCTTACTCATTTGGGAATGGGGTAAGGCAAGCACAGACACAGAATATGTGGGAAAAAAGCCCCTTCTGCTTTAAAATATTCATCCCCCTTCCCTTCCCCGGCCCCTCCTTTATATATACTAACAATCAGAGATTAATCTGGATTACTAAACTTTGTTTTTAATATAAAATTTTCCTTGTGAGGTTTACAATCATATCAGACTACATTATTTTAAATACTATTTCTGCCCATTTACAGTTCATACGAACTTTTAAAAAACATGTATTGTCTTATTTAATCTTCAAGGACTGTAAGGCAAGTTATCCAGCTTTACTGATAAGAAAATTGAGGATTAGAGATTAAGTTACTTGTCCAAGGTCAACAGTTAGTAAAGAGCTGATCCTGGAGCAGTATCTAGATGTGTGTGCTATTATCCTTACTGGTAATGTCTTTTAAAACAGGTCCCCAACCCCTGGGCCATGGAGCAGTATCTAGATGTGTGTGCTATTATCCTTACTGGTAATGTCTTTTAAAACGGGTCCCCAACCCCTGGGCCATGGACCAGTACTAGTCTGTGGCCTGTTAGGAACCCAACTGTACAGCAGGAGGTGAGCAGTGAGTGAGAAAAGCTTCATCGGTATTTATAGCCACTCCCCATCGCTCATATTACTTCCTGAGCTCCACCTCCTGTCAGATCAGCAGTGGCATTAGATTCTCATAGAAGCATGAACCCTATTGTGAACTGCTCATGCGAGGGATCAAGGTTGCGCGCTCCTTATGAGAATCTAATGCCTTATGATCTGTCACTGTCTCCCATTTCCCCCAGATGGGACTATCTAGTTGCAGGAAAACAAGCTCAGGGCTCCCACTGATTCTACATTATGGCGAGTTATATAATTATTTCATTATATATTACAATGTAATAATAAATGTGCACAATAAATGTAATGTGCTTGAATCATCCCAAAACCAGCCCACCCCAGTGTCCGTGGAAAATTTGTCTTCCATGAAACCAGTCCCTGGTGCCAAAAAGGTTAGGGACCGCTGTTTTAAAAGCTGCTTAACATAAGAGACCCTTAGATATTTGTTAAATTATTAAACTGATCTACCTGAAAAAGCTGCTTAACATAAGAGACACTTAGATACTTGTTAAATTATTAAACTGATCTACCTGAAACATCTATATTAAAGGAATGACTAGGAATGGTAGGGGTGGTAGTGGTCTACCTTGGATAGGATAACCGTAAGTATGAGAGAAGTAAGAGGAGAAATGAGCTTTACTGAGCTACACTTTGCTCATTTTGTGAGTTACACTGAAGGTCATCTTGCCTCCTTGTAGACGTACCCCATTAACAATGTCTACCACCTTTAGGGACTTAATAAACAGCTCTGAGTGCCATAATTTCCTTTTGTTATAGTTTATTGGGGTTTATTATATGCATCCTCAGTTACTCTGAGGTTCTGGAGTTCCCCTGAGCCCTAAAGAGGACCCAAAGTCCCTGAAGAGACTGTTCACAATTGGATATACTCATTTACCTCTTTTACTTTTTTAGACGGGGGAGAATTGCCAAACGAAGATATCTCCATCTTCACTTCAGGAGTCTCCATCTTCACTTCAGGGAGCACTCAAAAAGAGATCAGCTTTTGAAGATCTCACTA